>NC_000006.12:95979880-96131396 GCF_000001405.40 Homo sapiens
TTTTTTTTTAGCTGGAATAATGTTTTTTTTTTATTATACTTTAAGTTTTAGGGTACATGTGCACATTGTGCAGGTTAGTTACATATGTATACATGTGCCATGCTGGTGCGCTGCACCCACTAACGTGTCATCTAGCATTAGGTATATTTCCCAATGCTATCCCTCCCCCCTCCGCCGACCCCACCACAGTCCCCAGAGTGTGATATTCCCCTTCCTGTGTCCATGTGATCTCATTGTTCAATTCCCACCTATGAGTGAGAATATGCGGTGTTTGGTTTTTTGTTCTTGCGATAGTTTACTGAGAATGATGGTTTCCAATTTCATCCATGTCCCTACAAAGGACATGAACTCATCCTTTTTTATGGCTGCATAGTATTCCATGGTGTATATGTGCCACATTTTCTTAATCCAGTCTATCATTGTTGGACATTTGGGTTGGTTCCAAGTCTTTGCTATTGTGAATAGTGCCGCAATAAACATACGTGTGCATGTGTCTTTATAGCAGCATGATTTATAGTCATTTGGGTATATACCCAGTAATGGGATGGCTGGGTCAAATGGTATTTCTAGTTCTAGATCCCTGAGGAATCACCACACTGACTTCCACAATGGTTGAACTAGTTTACAGTCCCACCAACAGTGTCAAAGTGTTCCTATTTCTCCACATCCTCTCCAGCACCTGTTGTTTCCTGACTTTTTAATGATTGCCATTCTAACTGGTGTGAGATGATATCTCATAGTGGTTTTGATTTGCATTTCTCTGATGGCCAGTGATGATGAGCATTTTTTCATGTGTCTTTTGGCTGCATAAATGTCTTCTTTTGAGAAGTGTCTGTTCATGTCCTTCGCCCACTTTTTGATGGGGTTGTTTGTTTTTTTCTTGTAAATTTGTTTGAGTTCATTGTAGATTCTGGATATTAGCCCTTTGTCAGATGAGTAGGTTGCAAAAATTTTCTCCCATGTTGTAGGTTGCCTGTTCACTCTGATGGTAGTTTCTTTTGCTGTGCAGAAGCTCTTTAGTTTAAATAGATCTCATTTGTCAATGTTGGCTTTTGTTGCCATTGCTTTTGGTGTTTTGGACATGAAGTCCTTGCCCACGCCTATGTCCTGAATGGTAATGCCTAGGTTTTCTTCTAGGGTTTTTATGGTTTTAGGTCTAACGTTTAAATCTTTAACCCATCTTGAATTGATTTTTGTATAAGGTGTAAGGAAGGGATCCAGTTTCAGCTTTCTACATATGGCTAGCCAGTTTTCCCAGCACCATTTATTAAATAGGGAATCCTTTCCCCATTGCTTGTTTTTGTCAGGTTTGTCAAAGATCAGATAGTTGTAGATATGCGGCATTATTTCTGAGGGCTCTGTTCTGTTCCATTGATCTATATCTCTGTTTTGGTACCAGTACCATGCTGTTTTGGTTACTGTAGCCTTGTAGTATAGTTTGAAGTCAGGTAGTGTGATGCCTCCAGCTTTGTTCTTTTGGCTTAGGATTGACTTGGCGATGTGGGCTCTTTTTTGGTTCCATATGAACTTTAAAGTAGTTTTTTCCAATTCTGTGAAGAAAGTCATTGGTAGCTTGATGGGGATGGCATTGAATCTGTAAATTACCTTGGGCAGTATGGCCATTTTCACGATATTGATTCTTCCTACCCATGAGCATGGAATGTTCTTCCATTTGTTTGTGTCCTCTTTTATTTCCTTGAGCAGTGGTTTGTAGTTCTCCTTGAAGAGGTCCTTCACATCCCTTCTAAGTTGGATTCCTGGGTATTTTATTCTCTTTGAAGCAATTGTGAATGGGAGTTCACTCATGATTTGGCTCTCTGTTTGTCTGTTGTTGGTGTATAAGAATGCTTGTGATTTTTGTACATTGATTTTGTATCTTGAGACTTTGCTGAAGTTGCTTATCAGCTTAAGGAGATTTTGGGCTGAGACGATGGGGTTTTCTAGATAAACAATCATGTCGTCTGCAAACAGGGACAATTTGACTTCCTCTTTTCCTAATTGAATACCCTTTATTTCCTTCTCCTGCCTGATTGCCCTGGCCAGAACTTCCAACACTATGTTGAATAGGAGCGGTGAGAGAGGGCATCCCTGTCTTGTGCCAGTTTTCAAAGGGAATGCTTCCAGTTTTTGCCCATTCAGTATGATATTGGCTGTGGGTTTGTCATAGATAGCTCTTATTATTTTGAAATACGTCCCATCAATACCTAATTTATTGAGAGTTTTTAGCATGAAGGGTTGTTGAATTTTGTCAAAGGCTTTTTCTGCATCTATTGAGATAATCATGTGGTTTTTGTCTTTGGCTCTGTTTATATGCTGGATTACATTTATTGATTTGCATATATTGAACCAGCCTTGCATCCCAGGGATGAAGCCCACTTGATCATGGTGGATAAGCTTTTTGATGTGCTGCTGGATTTGGTTTGCCAGTATTTTATTGAGGATTTTTGCATCAATGTTCATCAAGGATATTGGTCTAAAATTCTCTTTTTTGGTTGTGTCTCTGCCCGGCTTTGGTTTAAATATAAATGGACTAAATTCTGCAATTAAAAGACACAGACTGGCAAGTTGGATAAAGAGTCAAGACCCATCAGTGTGCTGTATTCAGGAAACCCATCTCACGTGCAGAGACACACATAGGCTCAAAATAAAAGGATGGAGGAAGATCTACCAAGCCAATGGAAAGCAAAAAAAGGCAGGGGTTGCAATCCTAGTCTCTGATAAAACAGACTTTAAACCAACAAAGATCAAAAGAGACAAAGAAGGCCATTACATAATGGTAAAGGGATCAATTCAACAAGAAGAGCTAACTATCCTAAATATTTATGCACCCAATACAGGAGCACCCAGATTCATAAAGCAAGTCCTGAGTGACCTACAAAGAGACTTAGACTCCCACACATTAATAATGGGAGACTTTAACACCCCACTGTCAACATTAGACAGATCAACGAGACAGAAAGTCAACAAGGATACCCAGGAATTGAACTCAGCTCTGCACCAAGCGGACCTAATAGACGTCTACAGAACTCTCCACCCCAAATCAACAGAATATACATTTTTTTCAGCACCACACCACACCTATTCCAAAATTGACCACATAGTTGGAAGTAAAGCTCTCCTCAGCAAATGTAAAAGAACAGAAATTATAACAAACTATCTCTCAGACCACAGTGCAATCAAACTAGAACTCAGGATTAAGAATCTCACTCAAAGCCGCTCAACTACATGGAAACTGAACAACCTGCTCCTGAATGACTACTGGGTACATAACGAAATGAAGGCAGAAATAAAGATGTTCTTTAAAACCAACAAGAACAAAGACACCACATACCAGAATCTCTGGGACGCATTCAAAGCAGTGTGTAGAGGGAAATTTATAGCACTAAATGCCTACAAGAGAAAGCAGGAAAGATCCAAAATTGACACCCTAACATCACAATTAAAAGAACTAGAAAAGCAAGAGCAAACACATTCAAAAGCTAGCAGAAGGCAAGAAATAACTAAAATCAGAGCAGAACTGAAGGAAATAGAGACACAAAAAACCCTTCAAAAAATCAATGAATCCAAGAGCTGGTTTTTTGAAAGGATCAACAAAATTGATAGACTGCTAGCAAGACTAATAAAGAAAAAAAGAGAGAAGAATCAAATAGACACAATAAAAAATGATAAAGGGGATATCACCACCGATCCCACAGAAATACAAACTACCATCAGAGAATACTACAAACACCTCTACGCAAATAAACTAGAAAATCTAGAAGAAATGGATACATTCCTCGACACATACACTCTCCCAAGACTAAACCAGGAAGAAGTTGAATCTCTGAATAGACCAATAACAGGCTCTGAAATTGTGGCAATAATCAATAGTTTACCAACTAAAAAGAGTCCAGGACCAGATGGATTCACAGCCGAATTCTACCAGAGGTACAAGGAGGAACTGGTACCATTCCTTCTGAAACTATTCCAATCAATAGAAAAAGAGGGAATCCTCCCTAACTCATTTTATGAGGCCAGCATCATTCTGATACCAATGTCATCACTTTTTAAAAAAGAGTACCTGAAATGGAAGTCATACTATGAGGTTTTAGTTTCTATTTATTTATCTATTTAACTTCCAACATTTTTCCTAGAAAGGAAAGATATAAAATATTGTATAGGCTTTCTATTTTAGCTTAAATTCAAGTACTTTGATGGTTTTATTTTTAATTTTCAAACATAAGGGGATTTTTGTCTTATTAACTTGTAATTGCATTGTATCAAAAATATATTTTAATATAATTTTTGAATAAAATTTTGATATGGAAAATTTTGTTAGGTCATTTTGGATAAAAGTCAAATTCTAGGAATCTATTGTAAGAAAACAACTGAGAACATATACAAAGATATAGTCACAAGGACTTTCTATACATTTTCTTTATAAACACAACAATTTTGAGAAAAATATGATCATATGAGTTATTCAAATGTGCAAAATAAATCACTGTAATTAAAAATTGTGATTCAAAGAAATTTAATAACATGGAAAGACATTTAAAAATTATATGAAAAGAAAATACTAAAATGAAATATATTTAGTATGTTTTCATTCTGAGTGTATATGAAAGACAATACTCTGAAATGCTACTATTATTGTATAATAAGTCTGAGGATGATTTGCATTTATTTTACTTTTCCATATTTTTGAAGTTTTTAATATTATTACTTTCATTTTTTAAAACCCTGTATTAATGTAAACTATACACAGAACTAAAATTTTAAAGTTCTATTCGATTTGATTTACTCTGAGTGTTAAGACAAAATTAATGCAAACAGAAAGTTTAATGGGCCTTGAGGAGGGACAGTTAAAAATTCTCTTCAAAATACAACAACAATTGCTGATATATTTCACATACATACACATAAAATTTCTACTACTGCTGCTGAAATTTCTTTAGACTGGCTGCCTATACCCAGCCTCATTTACTCAGACTCAGGACTTTCTTCTACGCATCTAGAATTGCTTCAGGATTATCTAAAATCTTTAAAACAAAAATGGACTTCTATTATTAATTCATATTCTCAAGGGATCATTTACTGATGTTATATCATACAAATTTAACATAATATTGGAAAATTTTCACAAAGTTCTGTAAAAGTTGTATGCTGTGGGAAGCTAATAAATTTTTTTTGCATCTGTTCTTATTTTGATTAATCTTTCCTTTGCACATCATTACTTTTCCACAGACTGAATGAATTTGGAATTTATTTAGTTTAGCCATTTTACTTTTAAGTCAGAAAAATTAAAATAAAGATAAGAAATTATTCTTACTGGCTAATCAGTCTACATGATAAAATATAGACACATGTTGATTTATAAAACACTATCTGATCCATAATAAAATACTTAGAATACTCTAAATAAAACAAAAATTCAGCCTTTAAAGGGCTTCAAAACTGAAGACTAGTAAATTTTAAAATCTCAGTGAAGAGTTTTTAAAATGCAGAATAGGATGAAGAGGTAGATTAGATCTGGGGGAAATCAGGTATCCCATAACACATGTTTGGAGTTAAAACTTTCCTGGATTAAATAAATAAATTATATCAAATTTTGCAATAAAATGACAATGATTGACACAATAATATACTTTTAATTTATAATTAAATAGTATATTCAAATGATCATATGATTCAGTTTTTTTAAATGTGTGTGTGTGTGTCGGCAGGGGCTTTGGGAAGGGTGTGCAGAGATGCATATATAGTTATCAGGTCGTCTTGAGCAATGAAATTATTGGTGATTTTATTTTCTTCTCTATATTAATCTACTTTTAAACTAGTTTTATTATAATTAAAGTTGTTTTTTATTTAAGTTAGTCTAATTGCTAGTTTTATACTGGAATCTTAGAACCACTAGTTCTCTCTTTTACAAACTGTAAAGATAATTCCTTAAGCAAACAGGGTCAGCAAAGCATTTAGAGTCAATAATATTTTCCTATTATTAAATATCTACTTAAAAGAAGCATTAGCCAGGTGCGGTGGCTCACGCCTGTAATCCCAGCACTTTGGGAGGCCGAGGTGGGTGGATCACGAGGTCAGGAGATCGAGACCATCCTGGCTAACACGGTGAAACCCCGTCTCTACTGAAAATACAAAAAAATTAGCCGGGCGTGGTGGCAGGCACCTGTAGTACCAGCTACTCGGGAGGCTGAGGCAGGAGAATGGCATGAACCCGGGAGGCGGAGCTTGCAGTGAGCTGAGATCACGCCACTGTGCTCCAGCCTGGGCAACACAGCGAGACTCCGTCTCAAAAAAAAAAAAAAAAAAAAAAAGAAGCATTATGCCTACAAGTATCATCAAGTATTTATCTCTTTTATGTAGAGAGAATTTGAAAGAACACGTATTATTTAGGATAACTTTGCTAAAATAGTTAATGCCATAGACAAAGAAATGAAAAAGTATAAATATTAGAAATGAAAAGATAAATACCATTATTGCAAATATAATTCTCTATCTAAAAAGCATACAGAAAATAAACTGAAAAACTCTTGAAACTAGAATACAGTTCAGTAGCTGGCTAGTTAAAAATATAACAATAATAGCTTTTAAAATAACCATTAAGAAACAAATACTTGAGACAAATCTCATTGGAAAATATTTTATTTTATTCTATTTTTTTGAGACAGGGTCTCATTCTGTCACCCAGGCTGGAGTCCAGTGGCATGATCACTGCTCACTGTAGCCTCAACCTCCCAAGTCTCAACGGATCCTGCTGCCTCAGCCTCCCATATAGCAGGCACTACAAGTGCGTGCCACGATGCCCGGATAATTTTTGTATTCTTCTTAGAGACGGAGTTTTGCCATGTTGCCCAGGCTGGTCTTGAACTCCTGAGTTCACGGGAGCCACCCTCCTCAGCCTTCCAAAGTGCTGGGATTACAGGTGAGAGCCACCACTCCCAGCAGGCAAATATTTTAAATAGGTTCACTCAATTCTTATTTCAACAACTCATAATTTGCCTTCCTATGTGTTACAAAGGCTTAAAATCTAATGCAAAATCTTATCCTCCTTGTTACAGGATATCAGTGATATAAGTATTTGATTTGGTTTCTAAAAATCATATGCACATATTCAAGATTTAGATGCAAAATGAATGCTGTGAGATGCTCTCTATGTGAGGGGAGTTCACGTGTTCTGTAAAGCATGGAAATAGAGGCATTTGGTTCTTCTGGAGCAACTATGCTAACAATATGGTATCCAGTTCCCCCACTATCATTGGTGTGGAGCAAAAGTTTCTGATGACAGAAATATTTCTATCATGTGATTGGGCAGTTTTACTGGCTGCATTGTTCCTGTTGGGGTAACAGCAGAACATGGTATTCTAGAATCTCTCACTGAGTGTGTGAGCTATCTGATGTCTTAAAATAAATTTATTTTCACTTACAATAACAAGATCTGACTTTATTCTTGACAACCAAAATATCTGACAAATTCAATGGAGCATTATTAGATAAACAGATAGATGATAGGTAAATAGATTATCTAAAAGGACATATATATATGCATAAATATTAACATTGGGTGTATTCTAGATCATAATATTTGGAGTAATATTAACCTTGCTTATTTAAAAAAAGCTTTTCATTATTCTAATAATGCATACTAATATATATTTGCTACTAATATGTATATGTATATACTAATATGTATTTGCTGAAAAGAAGCTATGCAATATAAAGTGGACATAAGAAGTCCACCCAGAGATTTTCTTCAGTATGCCATGATTAAATAGAAAATACCACCTAAAGTAGAATCATCTCTGTGGTTGAGACAGCCAGCTGTCCACCAAACAGATAACACACAAGCAAATAAACAGATATTGGTTGCCTCTTCTTGAGAACACAGCTAGACTAGAGTTAGCCTCCCTTGCAATTGAGTGTAGACACACGGTTGTTTTAATGAAGGTACTGTAAAGAGAAGTCATGTGTACAACTTCCAAAAGTGGCTCAAATAAACCTCCCATGAGCAACCTCTATGCTGTCCATTCTCCATTTCTGGCTGATGGTTATGCCCCTGGTGACCTTGGAATCCACATATTGAAGATGGCAAAGTAGCCATCAGTCTGCCTTGGATGTCTGCAAAACGAAAATGCAGCTATCAACCCAAATAACAGCCAGGAGAATTAGCTGAGAAAGAAATAGGCTGGGCATGGTGGCTCACTCCTGTAATCTCAGAATTCGCGAAGGCCAAGGCAGGAGAATCAATTGAGTTCAGGAGTTTGAGACCAGCCTGGGCAACATGGCAAAACCCTGTCTCTACCAAAAATACAAAAAATTAGCCATGCATGAGGGCAGGCACCTGTGGTCCCAGCTACTAGGGAGGCTGAGGTAGGAGGATCTCTTGAGCCTGGGAGGCAGAGGTCAGAGTGAGCCAAGATTGTGCCACTGCACTCCAGCCTGGGCAACAGAGTTAGACCCTATGCCAAAAGAAAAGAAAAGAAAAGAAAAGAAATAAACCAGGCTTTTTTTTTTTTTTTTTTTTTTTTTTTTGGCGCTGGAAGTTTGGGGTCTGTTCTGTCAGCATACTCAACATTAATACAGTCTCCATCTTTCATTATCTACCTTCTCCTCTGGCCTTCATCCCTTCAAATTAAGACTTCTGTGGTGTTATTCTGTGCTTTTTATTTGCTTTCCCCAAAAGCTGCCTGCTTTTAGTAGCTGGAGACTACTTCTTAAAAGAAGTCTCATCTGTAATAACACAGAAATTGTTCAAAATTTATAATGTTGTCCCTTTCCCAAAGATTCAATGTTGATAAATTGCTTTTTATTTTCTTATTTTTATGTGGACATTCCTATCATGTAATAAAAAAAATGAGGGCCTGTTCTTACATTGACATATGTTACTAACATTTTGATTTGGAATGATTTATTACTTTATTTTATTAGCATTCTTTAATTTTTCTGTAACAAACAGAAATTACTTATGCAATGTTTAATAAGAAAATTCTACAAAGTTTATTAAAGATATTAAAGTTAAAATAGATATTTAGCTTAGTGTTCATTTAAAACTTTGAATTCAATTAAATTCAAGTTCAGGTATTGACGAAAAAAAAGTTTGTTATTCCCAAACTGGCTTTCATTTCTCAATAAAATTGTGTGTACAGGCCTGTCATATTCACAAATATAGGCAAGATAGGCAAGAGAGTATGCATTCAGAGGATGTTCTCCCTCTTTAGTTTTCTTTTTTTTTCCTTCTTTTTTTTTTTTGAAACAGAACCTTGCTCTGTCACCCAGGCTGGAGTATAGTGGCGTGATTATAGCTCACTATAACCTTGAACTCCTGGTCTGAAGTAATCCTGTCACCTCAGCCCCCTGAGTAGCTGAGACATGTACCACCAAGCCAGGCTATTTTTATTTTAAGAAATAGGGTCTTATTATGTTGCCCAGGTGTGTCTTAAACTCCTGGCCTCAAGCAATCCTCCTCCCTCAGCCTCCCAAAGTGTTGGGATTACAAGCATGAGCCACCATGTCCTGCTCCTTTATAATTTTTACCTTTAATTTTCTAATATCTTCCAGAATCAGGAATTAAAAAGCTGCATCTTGTTGTGGGAAGTCAGGGACCCTGAATGGAGGGACCAGCTAGGGCCACAGCAGAGGAAATATAAATTGTGAAGATTTCATGGACATTTATCACTTCCCTAATAATACTCTTATAATTTCTTATGCCTGTCTTACTTTAATCTCTTAATCCTGTTATCTTCATAAGCTAAGGATGTAAATCACCTCAGGTCCAATGGGATGATTGCGTTAACTGTATGAATTGATTGTAAAACGTGTGTTTGAAAAATATGAAATCAGTGTCCCTTGAAAAAGAACAGAATAACAGCGATTTTCAGGGAAAAAGGGAAGACAACCATAAGGTCTGACTGCCTGCGGGGTCAGGCAGAATAAAGCCATATTTTTCTTCGTTCAGAGAGCCTATAAATGGATGTGCAAGTAGGAGAGATATCGCTAAATTCTTTTCCTAGCAAGGAATATAATATTAAGACCCTAGGAAAAGAATTGCATTCCTGGGGAAGGTCTATAAATGGCCGCTCTGGGAGTGTCTGTCCTATGCAGTTGAGATAAGGACTGAGATACACCCTGGTCTCCTGCAGTACCCTCAGGCTTACTAAGATTGGGAAACCCCAGCTATGGTAAATTTGAGGTCAGACAAGTTCTCTGCTCTCGAACCCTGTTTTCTGTTAAGATGTTTATCAAGACAGTAAGTGCACCACTGAACATAGACCCTTATCAGGAGTTCTGATTTTGTCCTTGCCCTGTTTCCTCAGAAGCATGTGATCTTTGCTCTGCTTTTTGCCCTTTAAAGCATGTGACCTACTCCCTGTTTGTACACCCCCTCCCGGTTTGAAACCCTTAATAAAAATTTGCTGGTTTTGTGGCTCAGGTGGGCATCACGGACCTACTGATACGTGATGTCACCCCTGGTGGCCCAGCTGTAAAATTCCTCTTTTTGTACTGTTTCTCTTTATTTCTCAGACCGGCTGACAATTAGGGAAAATAGAAAGAACCTACATTGAAATACTGGGGGCAGTTTCCTCCAATAGCATCTTACTTCAAAACCTCCTATACATGACTACTAAGCATTCCTGCCCATAAGGGCCACAATCTCAACTCTGATTTTCAGAAGTCCCTAGATCATTCAAGATCCATTTCTACTGTTGCCCACTCTGTGAACCCTCCAGGATTCCTCAAACAGATGTACTCATGTCTCCATTTATATATCTTCATTTGACATTTGTATATGATACTTTCCAGACCAAGTCTTTTATCCAAGAGATCTTAATATCTTCTGTGCCTCTCTATAAACTGCAAGCTTCTTGAGGTCCAGAACTGTGTCTCATTTGTCTTTAAATTCTCTCTGTATCTTAGCATTGCAGAATACAGATAAATGATGTTTACCATATTTTGTTGAATTAAATTAAGCAAATATCTAAGTTTAGTCAGTATTTCTGCTTCTAATCTGTCACTAAATCCCTGTTTCCACAACAATCCTAGGTGATAGGAGCTCTGCCTTCCAAGAATAATGTGTGGACGCTGGTGGCAAGATATACTGGAGTGCCAGATGGAATAAATAGGAAGAAAGTTGTTTCTGAAATCACCAATGAGAATATCCTTAGGAAAAAAAAATTGAACAGCAGCTCAGCAGAACCTGAATCCTGTCCTCTTGCTTTCCTCCCCCGAGACATGAGATTCATCACCCACTCCACCACCTTCTCCACTAACTGCCTGCCCATGGGGTCCATCCAGTTGCTTGCCAGCAGTCTGTCTATCCTTTATGCAAATGCCATGGGCTCTAGCTCCTGGATCTTTTCTTTCAGCTCCACCAGCTTCTGGGTAGACTGGGGGACTGGGGATCTGGTAGAAATAGTGGGGCATACAAAGTAAGAATGAGGCCATGACAGGCCTGAATAACTGCCTAGCCTCCTACCTGGACAGAGTGGGTGGCCTGGAGACTGAGAATCGGAGGCTAGAAATCAAAATCTGGGAACATCTGGAGAAGAAGGGGCCCCAGGTCAGAGACTGGGGACATTATGTTAAGACCACAGAGGACTTCAGGGCTCAGACTTTTGCAAATTCTGTGGACAATGCCTGCATTGTTCTGCAGATTGGCAAGGCCTATCTTGCTGCTGATGATTTTAGAGTCAAGTAGGAGACAGAGCTGGCCATATGCCCATCTGTGGAGAGCCACATTCATGGGCTCAGGAAGGTCACTGATGACACCAATGTCAGTCATCTGCAGCTGAAGACAGATCTCGGCTCTCAAAGAGGAGCTGCTCTTCATGAAGAAGAACCATAAAGAGGAAAAAACAAAAAGACTTAAAAGCCCAGTTTGCCAGGTCTGGTTTGACCATAGAGGTAGATGTCCCTAAATCTCAGGACCCCAGCAAGATCCTGGCAGATCAGTGTGACGAGCTGGCTCAGAAGAACCTAGAGGAACTGGAAAATACTGGTCCCAGCAGATTGAGGACAGCACCACAGTCATCACCATGCAGTTGCCAAAATCAGAAATGCAAGGTGATGCTCACGGAGCTGAGAGGTAGAGTTCAGTCCTTGGAGATCAACCTGGACTCCATGAGAAATCTTAAGGCCAGCTTGGAGAACAGCCCAAGGGAGGTGGAGGCCCACAATGCCATGCAGATGGAGAAGCTCAATGGGGTTCTGCTGCACCTGGAGTCAGAGCTGGCACAGACTCTGGCAGAGGGGTGGCGCCAGGCCTAGGTATATGAGGAGGGCCTGCTGAACATCAAGGTCAAAGTGTCGGCTAAGCTGGCCACCTTACTGCTGCCTGCTGGAAGATGGGAGGGACTTCAATCCCGGTGATGCCCTGGATAGCAGCAATCCCATGCAAGCCATCTGAAAGACCACCACTTGCAGGATAGTGGACGGCAAAGTAGCATCTCCCACCAATGACACTAAAGTTCTGAGGTTTTGAGGCAGCAGAAGCAAGGTGTCCTTTGGATAACCCAATAAAAAGTTCAGAGGTCCAAACAAAAATCGAACAGCAGTTTTGGTCACCCAATGTCAGTAGTTTTTAGATTTAGCTCTATATCAACTAACAGGATTGATAGAGAACCGAACTAATTTTTCAAACGTTCTATCATTGGGAAATGTATTCCATGCTTTAAACACCTCACCAAAACTGTCTTCGGGATAAAATATATTCTTTGTTTTTAAACTTATTATAGTAAAAACAACTGGCAACTTCACAGAGTCCACTATCAATCCTAGAAGTGCATTCTCTGTGCAGAAGTTATCTCAGTTTAGTTGCTACACTGAACTATACAGAATGATAGATCTTTTTGTAATTTTATGATCTATCTTGAGTAGAAAATTTTGTAGTCTTGTCAGGTATAAGAGTTATGATATGCCACAAATATTTGTCTTATCACAGAAAGCTTAAACTTAGGGAGGAGTTATATAACTTTTCTGGTCCTATTTAATCTCACTGAGTTAGCATGTTTTATGTTTCAATAGCAAATGTATACTGAAAAGGCAGAGAAACATTAAAATGAAAGGGAAAATACAGAAATAATATTTCATTATCTGGATGTCGTTAGTTTATAATTTTCTCCATAGATTTTAAAAAGTGGAGAAAACTGATTACAATAAAAATATATGCTTTTATTATTTATCACTAACTTTTACTCCAACAGAAGTAATTTTTGCATTGAACAAATCTAGGATTTTTTTCAAAAATTTCAATTAAATATCATATATTTATTTTTGTATATATAATAATATTCTATACATATAAATATATGTATGTTTGTATATATAATTGTATAAATAATATTCATAACAACATGAACATATTGAAATATTATTCATCCATAAAAAAGAATGAGGTTCTGATACATGCTAAAACATGGAAGAAACATGAAATCATTGTGTTAGATTAAATAACCAGACACCAAAAAACACATATTTTGTAATTCCACTCACGTGAAATATCTAGAATACGCAACTTCAGAGAAACAAAAAGTAGATTAGAGATTACCAGGGCCTGAGAGAGGAGCGAAGAGGGTATTACTGCCTACGGGTCGCAGAGTTTCTGTTTGAGTTGATGAAAACATTTTGAAAATAGCGATTATGGTTGTACAACGTTGTGAATGTGATTAATACCTCTGAATTGAACACTTATGAAATGGCTAAAATAACAAATATTATGTTACATATTTTGCCATGATTAAAAATAATGAAAAATTAAAATTAGTAAGCAGTGATATAGCAAAAAAAGCATAACATTGTGTTTTATGTCTGTTGCTACTCTGACCTGTTTAACTTAGATTAAAATTTTTATTTCTGTTTATGAATATAATCAAGAAATGAGAATAAATCAAGTAGCCTTACACCTGACATTGACTAGTTATTATGAAAGAAACCTAGACTTTTGGAAAATAAATAACTATGGAATCTATAACATAGTTTTAAGAGTTCTTCCCCAAACATCATGGTCAGATTTTTAAAACTAGTAGAATAATCACTGATTGAAGAAATGAAAGATCTGTTTTGGGGCGGCTAAAATATGAGCTCAAGAGTTTCGAATTCATGAATGATCTTATTAAACTGTTAAAATATATTTATATAAAAATAATACACAACACTAATATAAAACACAATAAATATAAAAATAAAGATAGTACCAAACACAAAAGCAATTAGTGATATTTTATTTTTGTTAAATTAGTTTTAATGATTATTGTTTAATACATTTGTATTGATACTTGATTTTAAGATAATTCTTTGAAATGATGTGATACATTTTTTATGACCCAAAAGTAATGAAGGTAGCCAAGCAGAAATAAGGAGAAGAGTCGTTGAAAAAAATGAAGTCCGCTGGTCACTCTTTCTCTGGCAAATAATGGAGACATTCAAGGTTGTTAAAATTTAACTGTGAAAGTTTAATTATTCAGTTGTCTGCTTGAAGCTTCAGCAGGTTCGCAGCACTGGATCAAGCAGGGGTTTTTTTTTTGGTATGTGGAATGGGCATTATATGCATAGCATTTTATAAACTTTTGAAGAATATGTGATACTCATTAACAGAGGTCATTCTTTTCCTCTTTTGCAGGACACTTTGCAGCTGCTTATATATGTGTCCGTTGAAAATATGTTATCTTATTCATTTTTTTTCTTGAATCCCATTGCTCTGCTAGACAGATTTAAATAGTAGTGTAAGAAATCAGTCATTTCTGTACTTTTTTTATTGGCCCCAAAGCCCTTTTCTCTCTTATCACTTAATATAATCAAATCTTCAAAGTTTTTTCTGATGGATTCTAAAAATGGGAGTTGAGCAGTTGGCACCATCAGTTGGTTCAATGTTGCTAAATCTTTTCCAATCTTTATTCATTTCTTTATATTTTTGGTTAGTACAATGATTTTTTTTTTGCCACCAGAGAAACCCTGCAAAATCATTTGAAAGCTTTAGCCATTTTTCATGAAGGACAGAATATTTTACTTCACGTATCAACTCCCTTATTCTTTAAAGATCTAGAAATGGGGAACACTTTTGCACTACTGATGGTGGGAATGTAAACTTGTACAACCATTATAGAAAATGGTATGGAGATTCCTTAAAAAACTAAGACTAGATCTACCTTTGATCCAGCAATCCCACTGTTGGGTATCTACCCATAGGGAAAGAAGTCATTATATGAAAAAGACACTTGCACATGCATGTTTATAGCAGCACAATTTGCAATCGCAAAAATGTGGAATCAGCCCAAATGTCCATTAATCAACTAGTAGGTAAAGAAAACATTATACGTACATATATCTATATATATAGAGAGAGAGATATGATATACACATATACATATATAATACACATCATGTATATCATATTCCATATATACCATGCACACACACACACACACACACACACACCATGGGATAATACTAAGCCATAAAAAGGAATGAAATAATGCCATTTGCAGCAACCTGGATGGTGTTGGAGACCATTATTCTCAGTGAATTAAGTCAGGAATGGAAAATCAAACATTGTTCTCACTTATAAGTGGGAGCTAAGCTATGAGGATGCAGAGGCATAAAAATTATATAATGGACTCAGGGAGAAGGATGGGAAGGGTGTTAGGGATAAAAAGACTACACCAGAGTACAGTATACACTGCTCCAGTGAAGGGTGCACCAAAATCTCAGAAATCACCACTAAAGAGTTTATCCATGTAACTGAATATCACCTGTTCCCCCAAAACTATTGAAATTAAATAAATAAATAAGATCTAGAAATGGAATAAATTTTTGTCACTTTTGTGTACAGATGTGTTGATTTCATTACATAAGTGATGTGATTCAGCAAATGTTTGGTATAATAGCTCTCTAATCTTCTTTATCATATTCCTGACTTTATTATGGGAAAGTAATTAATTTTACCCATGATTTTCTGCCAATCCTAACTGCGTCCAGTAGAGTTATGCACTCTTAGGTATCTTTCATCACTTCTTTCAAATTTTCTTCCCTAATGTCACCAGTCCTCACATCCCACCTAAACCAACAGCACTCCTTTGCAGAGTTAAGGTTAAAAAAAAAAAGGAGTAGAATTTGATGGAAAAGCAACACAAAAACTGACAAAAATATTTCATTTTAGAAAATGATAGAAAATCTAAAACCTCTCTGCACCAAAACAGTTTACAT
Source organism: Homo sapiens (assembly GCF_000001405.40). Taxonomy (NCBI): domain Eukaryota; kingdom Metazoa; phylum Chordata; class Mammalia; order Primates; family Hominidae; genus Homo; species Homo sapiens. Next base: position 95,996,069 of record NC_000006.12, read on the forward strand.
GTACAGGAAGAATTGAGAGGATAGTAGAGTTCCAAAATACCCCACACCTAGCTTTCTCCATTATTAGCATCTTGCATTAGCATGGCAAATTTGTTACAATTAATGAAATAATATTAATACAGTATTATTAACTAGAGTTCATAGTTTATTCGGATTTCCTTATTTGTTGCCTTCTATTCATTTCCTGTTCCAGGATATTATCCATAATACCATATCATACTTAGTTGTAATGTTTCCTTAGGTTTTTTTTTGGCCATGACAGTTTATCAGACTTTTCTTGTTTGTAATGTTTTAGTGACGCTGACCCCTCTGAGGAGTATTGGTCAGGTATTTTGAAAGATACTCCTCTATTGGATCTGTCTGATGTTTTTCTCACTATTGGACTTGAGTTACAGGTTTGAGGGAGAAAGGTCACAGAGGTAAAGTGCCATTTTCATCTCATCATATCAAAGATAAAATCAACATGATTTGTCATTTTTTAAGTCAACCTTGGTCACCTGAGATAGTGATTGTCAGATTTCTTCACTGTGAAGTTACTCTTATTCCTCTGTTTCATGCTGTACTCTTTGGAAGTAAGTCAGTATCACAGCCCACACTTAAGGGATGAAAAGTTATGTTCTCTCTGCTTGAAGGAAGGGTACCTACATAAATTTTTTGGAATTCTTCCACATGAAAGATTTCCCTCTTCATTTATTAATTGGTCAAATTTTTAAATTTATATCAGTATGTACTCATAGATACTTATACTTTATTTTGTACTCAAATTGTTCCAAGTTTGGCCATTAAGTGCTCCTTCGGTTAGCTCCTGTACTCTTTTGACATACATACTCCCACTAATGTATTTTGGGGGCCTTTTTGTTAGCAAGTTTTCACTTTCTGGAACTTCAAAATGCTGCAGGTTAATCTTACATATTTTCTGCTCCAGTTCTAGAAGCTGCCATCTCTCGAGGGAGCCTTGCTTCCTGTCATTGGAAAATGATATTAGAAACTGAGATCTGGACAATAAGTGTGCTTGCTATTATAAGAATATCCCTTATTTTAAGCTCTCTCAGCTAATAGAGCAAAGAAATAGAAGTGTGTACACTAACCTGTGATTGTATACATACAGTAGATCTCTTTATTTGTAGATTCCATACTTGTGACTTTTCCTACTTGAAAATTTATGTACCTGTGCAGGACAGCAAAAAAAAAAAAAATGAGTGACCTGACATGTACATCCTAACTGAAGTAGAACAAGGCAACACTCTGCCTTCTTGTTTTAACTATCATAATATAAACAAGTGTCCTTTTGTGGTATACTTAGCATTATGTTTTGCACATTTTTTGTGCTTTATGTTATTTTCCTGTTTAAAGTGGCCCCTCAAGTGTGGTGCTACAGTGCTTTCCTAGTATTCCTAAGTGACAGAAGGTTGTATTGTACCTTATGAAGAGAATACTTGGATTAGATAAGCTTCCTTCAGGCAAGGGTTATATATGTAATATATCTATCTATCTGTCTTTCTATCTATCTAGCTATGTATATATATATATATATCCCTTGTACAGGAGCACAGGAGCCAATGGAAAGAGTTCCTAATGACCAAACTTGGAACAATTTGTAACTCTCTCTCTATATATATACATATACATACACACACATATATATAGTATTGTTGTGTGTGTGTATATATATACACACACATACATATATATATATATATAGTATTGATGGCTGGGAGTTCAATATTAATAAACCAACACTATATTTTAAATGAGGTGAGTTAAAACAGAAATACACATAAAACAGGTTACATACTTGATTGGTTAATGAAAACGTTATAACCAGAGGCTAACAGAAAACTAACCCTATACTTTTGTCTTGGACAATTGTTCTTCATTTGCTAATTCAGTGTTTGTAATGACTTTATAGAATATAACTACCATAAATAATAATAATGAACTCTATAAATATTTTATATATAACCATCTGTATCTATATTAAATTAAACATGAGTTCTTTACCAGGATCATTCTAGTCTACTCCCTTGTTTATCTGTAAACTCCCATTCCTACAGTGAGAAACCACCATTCTTTATTTATTTACTTACTTTACTTTATTATTTGCTTAATTGTTCAATTCCTGTCCACATGTTTAGCAGTATCAGAACTGATCATTCATATCCTCAGGAGAAATAACTTTATCAACTATAGTACAATGCTTATATACAGCTTATATGCTTGTAAACCATATTCCCCTTTTAGGTCTCTCTGCCTGTAACGGGAGCGGCTGCTTTGGAGACCTCTGACATGCCCTGGATACATTTCCCCGTTGTCTTGGGGATTAACATTCAGCTTTTTGTTACTTATGCAAATTTTTGCAGCCAGCTTTAGTCTCTCCTCAGAAACTAAGATTTTCTTTTCTATCACATTGTCAGGCTGCAAATTTTCTGAACTTTTATGCTCTGCTTCCCTTATAAAACTGAATGCCTTTAACAGCACCCAGGTAACCTCTTGAATGCTTTGCTGGTTAGAAATTTCTTCCACCAGATACCCTAAATCATCTCTCTAAAGCTTAAAGTTCCACAAATCTCTAGGGCAGAGGCAAAATGCCACCAGTCTCTTTGCTAAAACATAACAAGAATCACCTTTGCTTCAGTTCCTAACAAGTTCCTCTTTTCCATCTGAGACCACCTCAGCCTGCATTTTATTGTTCATATTGCTATCAGCATTTTGGGCAAAGCCACTCAACAAGTCTCTGAAGTGCCAAACTTTCCCACATTTTCCTGTCTTCTTTTGAGTCCTCCAAACTGTTCCAACCTCTGCCTGTTACCCAGTTCCAAAGTCACTTCCACATTTTTGGATATGTTTTCAGCAGCACCCCACTCTACTGAAACCAATTTACTACATTAGTCCTTTTCCACACTGCTGATATAGACATTGCCCGAGACTGGGCAATCTACAAAAGAAAGGTTTAATGGACTTACAGTTTCACATGGCTGAGGAGGCCTCATGATCATGGCAGAAGGCAAAGAGGAGCAAGTCACATTTTACATGGATTGGCAGCAGGCAAAGAGAGAGAACTTGTGCAGGGGACCTACTCTTTATAAAACCATCAGATCTCATGAAACTTATTCATTATCATGAGAACAGTGCAGTAAAATCTTGCCTCCATGATTCAGTTACCTCCCACCGGGTCCCTTCCACAACAGGTGGGAATTCAAAATGAGATTTGGGTCGGGACACAACCTAACCATATCAAGTGACAAAAAGCAAATTCAGGAAATTCAGAGAACTCTAGGAAAATACTACACAAGATGACCATCCCCAAAACATACAGTCATCAGATTCTCCAAGATTGAAAGAAAAAATTTTAAAGGCAGCTAGGAAAGAAGCAGCAGATCACTTACAAAGGGAAACTCATCTGTCTAACAGTAGGTCCTTTGACAGAAATCCTACAAACCAGAAGAGATTAAGGGCCTATATTCAGCATTCTTAAAGAAAAAAGTTCAATACAAAATTTCATATGCAGCCTAACTAACCTTAATGAGCAAGGGAAAAATAAGACCCTTTTCAGAAAAGAAGATGCTAAGGGAATTTGTTACCACCAGATCTTCCTTAAAAGAGGTCTTGAAGGGAATGTTAAATATGGAAAGGAAAGTCCCTTACTGGCCACCACAAAAGCACACTTAAGTACAAAGACCATTGACATTATAAAGCAACTACCCAATCAAGTCAGCATAATAACCAGCTAACAAGATGACAGAATCAAATTAGCACATATCAATATTAACCTTGAATGTAAATGCACTAAATGCCCCCAATTAAAATGCACAGAGCGGTACATTGGATCAAGAAGTTGGACTCATTGGTATGCTGTCTTCAAGAGACTTATCTCACATACAATGACCTCCATAGGCTTGAAGAAAAGGGATGGAGAGAAATGTACCAAGAAAATGGAAAACAGAAAAAAGCAGAAGCTGCTAGTCTAATTTCAGAAAACAGACTTCAAAATAACGACAATTAAAAAAGAAAGAAGAGCATCACATAATGGTAAAGGGTTCAATTCAACAAGAAGACCTTGCTATTCTAAATATATATGCACCTAACACAGGAGTAGCTAGATTGATAAAACAAGTTCGTAGAGACCTACAGAGGCTTAGATAACCATAGAACAATAGTAACAGATTTCAAAACCTCATTGACAGTATTAGGAAGATTATAGAGGCAGAAAACTAACCTAGATATTTGGGATCTGTACTCGACATTCCACCTAATGTACCTAACAGACATCTACTGAACTTTCCACCCCAAAACAATAGCATAAACATTCTCCTCATATGCATATGGCACATACCCTAAAATCGAACACACAAGAGGTCATAAAACAATTCTCAGCAAATTCAGAAAAATTGAATTAATACCAACCACACTCTCAGACCACAGCACAATCAAAATAAAAATCAATATAAAGAAAATTGCTCTAAACCATATAATTACATGGACATTAAACACCTGTTCCTTAATGACTTTTGGATAAACAATAAAATTAAGACTGAAATCAAGAAATCTTTGAAACTAATGAGAAAAAACACACATGTATTAAGAATCTCTGGAATACAGCTGACACAGTATTAAGAGGGAAGTTTATAGTGCTAAATGCCCACATCCAAAGTTAGAAATATCTCAAATTAACAACCTAACATCACAGATAGAGTAAAAAACAAAGCAAGCCAAATCCAAAACTAGCAGTATAAAAGAAATAACCAAAATTGAAGCTGAACTGAAGGAATTTGACATGAAACACCATGCAAAGATCAACAAATCTAGGAATTTGTTATTTAAGAGAATAAATAAGATGGATAGACAACTAGATATACTAAAAAATAAAAAAAGGAAAGAAGATCCAAATAAACACAATCAATCAGAAAAAAACAAAGGGGACATTACCACCAACCCCATGGATATATGAAAACCACTCAGAGACTACTACTAACACCTTTATGTACACAAACTAGAAAACCTAGAAGAAATGAATGAATTTCTGGAAAAATACAACCTTCCCAGATTGAACCAAGAACAAATTTAATCTGTGACCAGACTAGTAACAAGTTCCAAAATTGAAACAGTAACAACAAGCCTACCAACCAGAAAAAGCCCAAGACCAGGCAGATTCATAGTTGAATTCTACTAGATGTATAAAGCAGAGTTGATATCATTCCTACTGAAACTGCTCCCAAAAATTGAGGAAGAGGGACTTCTTCATAACTCATTCTGTGGGGCCAGAATCATTCTTATACGAAAATCTGGCAAAAACATAACAAAGAAAGAAAACTTTAGGCCAATATCTTGATGAACATAGATGCAAACATCCTCACAAAATAATAGCAAACTGAATCCTGAATCCAGCATAATATCAAAAAGTGAATCCACTGCTATCAAGTAGGCTTTATCCTTGGGATGCAAGGTTGGTTCAACATATGCAAATCAAAAGATGTGATTTATCACATAAACAAAACAAAAAACATCCACATGATCATCTCAATAGATGCAGAAAAGACTGTCAATAAAATGCAACATCCCTTTGATATGGGATTTTTGCAATGTTGCTTTTTCTGTCCAGAAACCTCTGTGGCCTGTGGTGCCTTGGCCCAAGTTCTTCTCCTGCATCCAGGACGAATGAGGTATGCAGAAAAGTGGAGGATGAGCAAGACAAAGAGGAGCTTTATTAAGTGTTAGAACAGCTCAGAGGAGACCCACAGAGGGTAGCTCTTCTCTGTAGGCCAGTCGTCTCATTGTCTTTTTGTCCTCTTCTCTGATCTGATGAACCCAGGGCTTTTGTGGGCCTCAGAGGGGAGGAAATGCATGCCGATTGGTTCATGGGTGGGCATGAACAGCCAAGAAAAGGCATCACAAGTCCCCACATCAATCTGCAGGACTAGCAGCCCAGCCCCAACCTTCAGGCCCTCCCTGGCTGAAGGTGGAGCCTCACTGGGACTCACCTCTTCTTGCAGAAGGGCCTGTCTACCTCCCGCCACCACTCATGGTACCCAGGCCACTCAGGCCAAGGGGCACCCACAGGCTGAGCTGCTCCTAGCCTCATATGAGCCTCCTCCCACACTTGTTGGTGCCCAAAGTCTGGACGGGCCGATGCAGCAGGGGGCCCTGCTGCACCCCAGGCCAAGCTGTGACAGCTCCAGGGCTTGGCACTAACTCCACTCCCATCTCAGAGTGCCGGCAGCAGGGTGAGGGCAGGCACTGGGAGCAGGCACCCCTGAACGTGTGGTGACATGGGGGCCCTTCTGGGCCCTGAGAGAGCTTCTGGAAGCCTGGGCCCACAGCCACAACCTGGATGGCTGCAGCTGTTCCTGGGGAGCTCCCGCCCTGCCAACTTGGGAGGGGCAGGGCTCCCAACTGTCCCTGTCCCAGGCTATGCCCCTACTCTGTGTCTTGCCACAGTGGCAGCAGGCAAGGTGCAGGTGGCACGGTGACCCTGGCCAACTCCACCCAAATGAACCCCATGCTTCCTGGGCTTGTCCTGTGAGTCCAAGCTGCACCATTGGCCAGATGCTTGTAGGCTCCCAGGACATGGCAGAGAGCAAGGTCAAAGCTGCAGTGGAGGCTCTGGGCCTGGGAGCAGGTCCTGCCAGACCATGTGAGGATGCGTGTGGCACAGTCAGCTGCCTTAGGGACATGGGGCACAGGGGACACACTGCCACCACTGCTGCCTCTGAAGCTGCTCCTACTGCCCTGTCTGACACTTTGCAGCCTGGGGCCGGGCTCCCGGCCCTTGCCAGGTTCTGGGGAAGGGATGACATTTGCAAGTTCCCCAGCAGCCCCAGTTCTTAGTGGTGAACAGGGGCTCCCCCTTCCTTAGCTCATGACCATGCCATAAGTATGCCTTCAGGAGTGGATTGTGGGCCATGGACACAGCCATTGGGAGCACCAGACTCAGCTGTCACCCCAACATGGGGTGGATCCTTGGTAGGCATCCTAGGATGGCCCCACGCTGAGCCTCCCACCAAGGCACAGTGCCCTTGGCAGGGTGGGCATGATGCTGGCCAGGTCCCACTCACGAAGGGCCACTCCCACTTCCCACTGCAGGGCCCTGAAATGCGGCCACTGCTCCATGTTCGGGACCAGCCCTCACACTCCATGCACAAGCACATCACTTCCTTGGGTCAAGTTCTGCCTTGGGGTCCCTCCATGCTTGTTGGTGCCATTCCCCAACCAGTGGGTGGCTTAGCCCAGCTTGGCCCCACCGCAGTGGCTCCCAGATGTGGGCTCCCAGGGCAGCAGATCCCAGGGACAGTTCACCTCAGTATCCACACCTAAGTACCCATGGCTCAAACCCATACTCCACCACCTGCACCCCACCACAGCTGGTACCATGGCAGCAGTTGCTTTGGACAGCTGCCAGCTGTCATCACCTTCATGTTAAAATCCCTCAACAACTAGTCATCGAAGCAAAATATCTGAAAATAATGAAGCATCTATGATAAACCTGAAGCCAACATCATACTGAATGAACAAAACCTAGAAGCATTGTCCTTGAGAACCAGGACAAGATAAGGATACCTACTCTCATCAGTCCTAGTTGACGTAGTACTGGAAGTCCTAACTAGATAAATCAGGCAAGAGAAAGAAATAAAAGGAATCCAAATAGGAAGAGAGGAAGTCAAATTATCCCTGTTTGCAGATGATATAATTCTATACCTAGAAAACCCCTCATAGTCTCTTCCCAAAAGCTCCTGTATCTGATAAACAACTTCAGCAAAGTTTCAGGATACAAAATCAATGTGCAAAAATGAGTTACATTCAATCTGAGAGCCAAATCAAGAATGCAAACTCATTCATAATAGCCACAAAACAAATAAAATACCTAAAATACCCAGGAATTCAACTTACGAGGGGAGTGAAAGATCTCTACAATGAGATTTACAAAATACTGCTGAAAGAATTCAGAGATGACACAAATAAATAGATAAGCACCCTATGCTTATGGATAGGAAGAATAAGTATTGTTAAAATGCCCATACTGCCCCCCAAAATTTACAGACTCGATGCTATTCATATCAAACTACCAATGGCATTCTTCACAGAACTAGAAAATACTATTTTAAAATTTATATGAAACCAAAAGAGTTTGAATAGCCAGAGAAATCCTAAAGGGGGAAAAATACTGGAGGCATCCCATTATCTGACTTCAAACTATACTACAAGGCTACAGTAATCAACCCATAGACAGAATAAACAAAATAGAGAGTCTATAAATATAGCTGTACACCTACAATAATTGAATATTTAACTAAGTTGGCAAAAAGGAGCAATGGGGAAAGAATTCCCTATTCAACAAGTGGTACTGAGATAACTGGCTAGTTATATGTAAGGGATTGAAACTGGACCCCTTCCTTATGCCATAAACAAAAATCAACCCAAGATGGAATAAAGACTTAAATGCAAAACCTAAAACTATAAAAACCCTGAAAAGTAACCTAGGAAATACTGTTCTGGACATAGCACTTGGCAAATATTTCAGAGTGAAGATGCCAAAAACAATTACCACAAAAATAAAAATTGACAAATGAGACCTAATTAAACTAAAAAGTTACTGCACATTAAAAGAAACTATCAATACAGTAAACAGACAAACTACAGAATAAGAGAAAATATTTGCAAAGTATGCATCTGAAAAGGGACTAATATCCAGAATCTATAAGGAACTTAAAGAAATTTACAAGCAAACACCTCATTAAAAAGTGGACAAAAGACATGAACACACACTTTTCAAATGAAGACATATGCATGGTCAAGGCGCATATGAAAAAAATGCTCAACATCATTAATCATTAGAGAAATGCAAATCAAAACTACAATGAGATACCACCTCACAATCAGTCAGAATGGCTATTAAAAAGTCAAAAAATAACAGATACTGATGAAGCTGTAGAGAAAAGGGAATGCTGAAACACTGCTAGTGGGAATGGAAATTTGTTCAGCCACTGTGGAAAGCAGTTTGGCAATTTCTCAAAGAACTTAGAATGACCATTTGACCCAGAAATCCCAATATTGGGTACATACCCAGAGGTATATGAATTGTTCTACCATAAGGACACATACACTTGTGTACTCGTTGTAGCACTATTTACAAGAGCAAAGACATGGAATCAACCTAAATGCTCATTAATGGTAGACTAAATAAAGAAAATGTGGTAGATTTACACCATGAAATAATACAAAGCCATGAAAAAGAATGAGATCACATCCTTTGCAGCAACAAGAATGGAGCTGAAGGCCATTATCTTAAGCAAACCAATGCAGGAACAGAAAACCAATTGTCACATGTTCTCACTTATATGTGGGAGCTACACATTGAGTACACATAGACACAATGCAGGAAACAACAGACATCGGTACCTACTTGAGGGTGGAGGTTCAGAGGAGAGTGGTGATTGAAAAACTACCTATTGGGTACTATGCCTATTACTGGAGTGATGAAATAATCTGTACATCAAAACCCTGTGACTCACAATTCACATACATAACAAACACACATATACTCCTGAGCCCAAAATAAAAGTAAAAAGAAGAGAAGGTAGGTTAAAGAAGATCACTGGACTTAGACGAGAAGAACATAATAAAACAGTTAATATTCTGTGACCTCTCTGGTTGTTTGTCAGTGGCCTCTTAAAATTTTTTGAAGGCATCTGTATAAAAGACCTCTTTATTGCTACTCTAGGTACAAAAAGTAGGGTAATAATGTGCAACACACATGCATGTGAATGCAGACAGAGATAGATTGTTTCTAGTGTAAGTTCTCTTTTTCTTTGAAGTACTAGAAACCTCCAAGTTTAAGGTCAATTTATGTCCACCCAGCTACAGACTACATTTCCTGACCTCCCTTAGAGATAGATAAAGCTATATACTACATTCTGACTCATGAAAGGACGTTGTTTCTGCAAACTTACAAAGGATCACAAGCTTTCAAAATGAAGTTTTTCACCACCCATGATGGTTAATTTTATGTTCCACTTTACCAGGCCACAGGGTGCCTAGACATTTGGTTAAACATTACTTTGAATTTGTTTATAGGGGAATTTTTAGATGAGATTAACAATTGAATCAGTCAAGTGAGTAAAGCAAATTGTTCTTCCTAGTTTAGGCAGGCTCTATCCAATCAACTGAAGGCTTAAAGAAAACAAAAAGGCCTTCCTGAGAGTAGAGGAAGCCTGGCTGCTTGAGCTTCAGCATTGGACTTTTTCTGCACTTACACTGGAATTTATTAGGCTCTCTTGATTCTCATGCCTTGGGAAGCAAAATGGGACTACTGCATCAATTCTCTTTGATCTCCAGCTTGCTGACTGCAGATCTTGGGACTTCTTAGCCTCCATAATCTCATGAACAAATATCTTATAGTAAATCTCTTTATAAATACATATATTTGTGTATGTATATACATACATAAAATTTTCTTTCTACTAAAAACTCCTACTACATTCTGTTTCTCTGGAGAACCAGACTAATACAGATTTTGATACAAAGATGGAGGTACTGCTGTAACAAATATCAAAAAATGTGGAAGCAGCTTTGGAACTGGGTAATGGGTAGAGGTTGAAAGAGTTTTGTGGTACAGGCTAGAAATGTTTACACTAAGGGTGATTCCTGTGAGGTCTGAAATGAAAATAAAAATATATTTTGGGAAATGAAAAAGGTGATCCCTGTTATAAAATGACAAAGACATGGCTAAACTGTGTTTTAGTGCTTTGTGGAAGGTAGAACTTATAAGCAATAAAATTGGGTATTTAGCCAAGGAGATTTCTAAGAAAAGTGTTGAAAGAGGGTCTTGATTCCTCCTGACTGCTTATAGTAAAAGGCAAGAAGGGAGAGATGATTGAAACCCCTGAGGCTGTTACATAAGAAAGAATAATAAGCTTCCATTTTTGCTGGAAGAACTGTATTGTTTGGTCTCTTAGCTAAAGTGGTATTTAAAGTACACCATCTTCTGGATAATTATTATTTATTGCAGTAAATATAATTCACAAATTATGTAAATCATTATATTATACTTCTACCACTATTTAAATAATAGTAATCTTTTGTAACTCACATATATTTCTACATCTTAAGTTTATAAATGTTACTCTCATAGAGGATTTTCAGTGTCAGCTTACTGATAAATTTTCCATATAGTATATGAGAGATTGAGGTCTAGATTTGGTGCACCTCTAGAGCTTGGTGTCAGTATTAGAAAATTGTGCCTTTTTAAATTGCATCCAATTAGAATCAATAAAAATTGAAAGTATTACCTTCAGAACTAACATTCTGAAATATGATTTGTGGATTTATAGCTGATGAGAATGTTGTTTCTCTGAAATCTTATTAAAAGCACTAAAATGTGACTAGTGAATTTATGACCTAATTAATTGTTATGTGCCACTAACAGAACTGTGGTGCTTAAATGAAATATAAATATTTTTAAAAGAACAATGTGAATTTGTCTCTTTTTCCCTACAGTCCTGCAGAGAGTTAGGTCACAATGCCACCTGGTCTGCAAAAAAACAAGCTCTATTGGGGAAATTTATAAACAGAGGAACAGTGTTTGCCACATTCTTTTCTCCCTTGGAGAAGCACGTAAGGGTGAAAACACAATGGGAAATTGTAAAGAACACTGTTCTCCAGGAAGGAAACCTGTCCTCTCTTCCTCTAATTTTTTATAGGACTAGGGTGAGAGTGCCCTTGAGAATGTTTAAAAAGGGGTGGAGCAGTAGTCAGATTAGGGACCAGCTCTTCAGGGGGAGGTTTATTCGCAAGACCTGAAACACTGTTTGTGCAAATGACTTGTTTATACAGTGATGATAACACCTGGAGGCCTGGGGAACTGATAGCTTTACTGTCCATTCCACTAGGGTAAAGGGGAGTCACAGCTCCCAGCTAGCTCATTGCCAAGACACCAGAAAATATATCTGCTGTGATTTTATGTTTGAGCACAAAATATTTGTCTCTGCAATTGCCCAGGATAGAGGACATACGGCTTTTCAGTGCTTTGACCTATCATAGCTTGAGGACACTGTTGCTTTTGGTCATCTGTCTCACTTTGATCTAATTCTTAAGCACAGCAAGCAATGTTCTGGTATGGGTATCCCCAAAGGATTATAAATGATTCTACTATAAAGACACATGCACACGTATGTTTATTGCAGCACTGTTCACAATAGCAAAGACTTGGAACCAACCCAAATGCCCATCAATGATAGACTGGATAAAGAAAACATGGCACATATACACCATGGAATTCTATGCAGCCATAAAAAAGGATGAGTTCATGTCCTTTGCAGGGACATGGATGAAGCTGGAAACCATCATTCTCAGCAAACTAACACAGGAACAGAAAACCAAACACCGCATGTTCTCACTCATAAGGGGGAGTTGAACAATGAGAACACAGGAACACAGGGAGGGGAACATCACACACTGGGGCCTTTCGGGGGGTGGGGGGCTAGAGGAAGGATAGCATCAGGAGAAATATCTAATGTAGATGACAGGTTGATGAGTGCAGCAAGCCTCCATGGCACGTTTATACCTATGGAGCAAATCTGCACATTCTGCACATGTATCCCAGAACTTAAAGTATAATAACAATAATAAAGACATGGAGGATACTTAAATGCTTATGACCAAGTGATAGAAGCCAGTCTGAAAAGGCTACACAACATATGATTTCAACTGCACGACATTCTAGGACATCTCTAACTATAGATAGAGTAAAAGGATCAGTAGTTGTCAGCAGCTTTGGGGGAGGGAGGAATGAATAGGTGAAACAGAATTTTTAGGACAGTGAAATTACTCTGTATGATACTGCAATAATAGATACATGCCATTACACATTTGTCAAAATCCATAGAATGTATAACATCGAGTTAACCCTAATGTAAACTATAGACAGTGGGTGATGATAATGTATCAATGTAAGTTTATTGCTTATAACAAATATACGCCTCTCATGAGAGATGTTGACAATGGGGAGGCTGTGCATGTATGTGGTGGACGCTATGTGGGAACTCTACCTTCTGCTAAATTTTGCTGTGAACCTAAAACTGCCCTGAAAAATAAAGTCTATTTAAAACAGAAGTAGTGCACTCATATATTACTATTATTATTTGAAATTATTTTAAAATAAGTGGTTGGTCTTAGGTATTCTCTGAATTTACAAATTGATTTTAATTTTTGTAGGATGTTAAAGATAATACAAAAGAACAGAGGGCCTAAAAGAGCAATAATAAAAACCCCAAGGAGAAGGGATAAAAGATGAGAATACAATATTAATAAATTAACATAAGAAGTTTATTATTTAAGAAAATGATAAGAAGACTTATATTACTATCACAAGCATAGTCATCTTATGAATGCTGATAAACACAACAGATAACATTTATGAAAGACTCACTCTATGCCAGGCATTCTTCCTAAAGATTTGGTATGCAATGACTCTTTTAATCATTGAAAAAATGATCCTATAAAGTAGATACTAATATTGCACTTCCATTTTATAGATAAGGGAAGTGACTAAGTATGTTAATAGATTTTCTAATACAGTAACATTCCTACCTTTTTGGAAAAAAAGAAAAATACACTTAGTGTTGATACAGTAATGTGCTATTGAGGTTCATTTGTTAATATTTTAATTAGGATTTTTGCACTGACGCTGTTAAGTGAGATTGGCCTGAAAAGTGTATTGACATTTAATATTCAAAACTTTACTTATATTTTATAAAGTATTAAGACTTATCAATGGTGGGCTTCATGCTAGCTCCTTGAATATCTTATAATTGCTGCTGTAGGAATGCTGGTGATATATAATCTTCTACACAGATGTTCATAATTGCTTTGTTTTCATAGCAAGGTGTCTGTTCTGTGATCACCTTAAAATATCCTTCTTTATCTTGTTTAACATGTTTTAGGCTTTATGCCACCTTATCTCTGACTAAGATTGCAACGCCTGCTTACTCTTTGTTTCCATTTCCCTGATAAATGTTTGTTCATCTTTTTATTTTTTAAGTGTTCTGAGTTTTCTTGCGGTAGATATAAAACACAGAACTCTATTTTCAGTGATAAAGTATAAAAATCTTTATTTTTGTCTATAAAACAGGAGATTATTTACATTTATTGATATAATGGAAATACTTACTTTTGGTTCTGACATATTGTGTTATGTTTTCACTTGTTATTTTGTAAAACTCCTTCATTTTGTGTTCTGTTTTATTTTTTCTGTGTGTGTGTGTGTGTGTGTGTGTGTGTGTGTTTGAGACAAGGTCTTGCTTTGTCACTCAGGTTGAAGTTAAGTGAATCATGGCTCACTGCAGCCTTAATCTCCCAGGCTCAAGCTATCCTCCTGCCTCAGCCCCTCGAAGTAGCTGGGACTACAGGAGTGTGCCACCACGCACGGCTAATTTTTGTGTTTTTTTGTAGAGTTAGGGCTTCACCATGTCACCAGGCTAGTCTCAAACTCCTGGGCTCAAACGATCTGCCCGCCTCAGCCTCCAAAAGTGCTAGAATTACAGGTGTTAGCTACCACGCCCAGCGTATATATGTATTCTTAATATTTACAAAGATTTTCATTTTGTTCTGTGTTACTTTTGTAATTATTTATCTGCATTGCTCTATATTTTAGTTAAAGTAAGAAATGTTTCTGTTAGTTTGTTAAAGTAGGTAATGATAAAAATTAGTGTTTCTTATTCCTCCATGCCTTCCTGCTTGACTAGATAATTTATCAAATAATTTGGATTAAATTTCATCTTTGTGTTGCTAAATGTCATGCTACTTATTTGTTCTTTTAAGTGGTTTTGTTGGACTCTCAGCCATTAGACAATTGATGCCATTATATCTCATATCATTTTTATATTGTCAGAGTCTATTTTTCCTATAAGGTTTATATTGCATTATACTGCTTTAATTCTCATATTCTAACATTGTAGATCAGTAGATAAATACACTGAATGTATTAACTTGAAAATCAGTCCTTGATTCAGCATGTCTCTTTTATTTATTTATTAGAAAGCTGAATTTCATTCATTATTCTAGTGATTTCCTGAAGGTGGTTTCATAAGAATAATAGTCCCTGAGTTCTTGCATCTTCACCATTGTTTGTCTATTCCCATTGTACTTGAAAAACCATTTAGCTAAAAAGAAAAAGAAAACCTTAGTTTTATTTTATTTTCTTTGGTTTCTTGTAAGCTTTGTTGCACTGATATTGAATGGCTCGATTCCACTAAAGTTGCAGTGAAGACTTCTGAGGCCAGTATCAGTATTTTTCTTTATAAGCTACTGATTGCTTTGCCTGCATGCCTAAAAAAATTCTTTTTTAAATTTAAATTCTAGTTACTGTACTAGGACACATCTCAATGTCAATGATTCTGGGGCAATTTTTCCTGGTAATCATTGTTTCTTTTCAAAGTGAAATATCAAGTCATCTTTCATTTGAAGAATGTTTCTTTCTTTAATAATATATTGACATATTTATTTTCCCATCACTTATTTCTTTTCTCTAATTATGTATCTATTGGATTACCATTCCCTATCTTCTCCATCTTTTGTATTCTCTCTAATCCTGTCTATTTTTTCTTTACTTGCATTTCATTTTGTTAGCCTTCCTTATTTCTGTCTCTTCTTTTCCTTGCTGTGTCTATCTCAGTGTCCATTTTATCTTGTAATTCTTCCATTTATAGTCTTAATTCGTGAAGGTATTTTTTTTCCTCACTTCTTTTCTGAGTTCCCCCAGCTATGTGTCACCAGCTCCTATTGTCTCTCATCATCCCTTCCCAAGTTCTTGCATTTGTACCTTGTAGTTTTCATTTATAAAAGCAATTCCTTCATTGTGCCTTCTTGAAAATTTCTGCTGTAATGTTAGAACAAATTTCTCAACTTCTTCATGACATCATTGCTATGGTGTGTGTTCTTCAACAATTGATATATTTTACTACTCCTTTGGAAGTCTTTTCCTATACTACTTTTGTGTTGACAGTGTGTCCATTCTTTTTTCAATTACTCATATATAACTGAGTTAAATTTTTCTTATGTAGGTTCTTGGGAAAAGGAGAGGAAAATAACTCCTGGGGTTTTCAAAGGGTTTCTCTTCACTGCTGCTACAGAGATAGATTCACTCCTCTGCCTAATTTTTGTGTATCACTCCATTACTTCCTGCAAGACACATCCAAGTGGGCTTCTTTCACTATCCACACTGTAGGAAATTCCAGTTCCTATACTGATTGGTGCAAACAAGAAATAAAGGTTTCGTAAGTGACAGTAAGAACTTACCTTCAGGAATCACATTTTTGTAGGTTTTCTGAGATTAGCCACAACTGAGTCCCCTGCATTTGTCAGGTTTCTTTCTTTCCTCCTTTTGCAGCTATACCCCAACTCTATTTCCTGAATCCATTGTTGTAACCAGTGGAAATTGATTTTGTTCTTCTGAGTGAAAGTCTCACTTTCAAGAAGTTTTTTTTTTTTTTTTTTTTTTTTTTTGGTGTATTCTCAAATTAGGTATCATTGGGCCCACTCTCTGCCCTTCTTTCTTTCACTTCTGAGACTTCTGGTTGATCTCAGCAGTTCTGGGATCTCACATACAAATTTTGGAAACTGCAGATTACCTGTCTTTTGATTTTACTGAAAAAAAGTTGTGAGTGATTTTTTTCCTTTTGATTCTTTGGTACATTCTTTGGGAAGAAAGAAGGAAACCTGCTAATTTTTGCCACTGTCTTCATAATAGATTCAGTCCATGTATTCAGCAGTGCTAATCATATGTATGATATAGTACATATGTAATTTTTAGAAGTGTCTGCAACCTCAGAAACATTTATTATTCTCCATTTTTCTCACTTTGAATAAAAACAGATGCTTATTTTTTAAAGTTAAGGCTCACCAAAATTTTCTCTTGCCTAAAAAGTACCCACTGTATTCTGTTACTACAACAAATGTGACTCTCTTAACTAACCCGTCATTCTCCTCTTTTCTTCAGCAGCTCACATAAGGACTGGTTATAGCAGAGGCTCATAATCTGTCTTTCTTTACTCCTAATCTTTTTAATGCCTATAATTAAATTATTAAATATTTCTTCTTTAAGCTTGAAATTTATCATGATCATCATTATTACTAGAACGTCTTTCTTAGTGATAAAACTTTTTTTATTGTATCACTGGACTCTTAAGCCTCACAAGGGCACAGTTAGCAATTTTCTTAACTGTGATATCCCTGGGGCCTAACATATTGCTGCCTACAGGGAGTGCTAATTGAATATGTGTTCAATAAATAGAGCAATGATATTTCCTTTGCTAACCAATATCTGGCACTCATGCAGTATCAGTTCAAAGACAGGGTTTTGAATCTTTCTGATTTTAGAAAATTTCAGCATGAGAATTTGTTTTCAATTAAATAAGTTCAAAGAGTCAGGGTTTTAAAATTAAGCTTTTATTGTATTAATTGATTAATTTTCCCATGGTGTAATGCATAACATAGTGCAACAGTAATAGAGATGTAGAAGGGGAAAGAAATATAAATGGGTGAGAATGCTGTAGTAAAGGTGACAGAGAAGTTTTCACCCAGCCTCAGAATCTACATTGAAATGCAAGTCCTTCAGCAGGAGAGTTCAATGCCATTCCATTGCTTATCATCCTGTTCTTGTCTCTGGTGGGCCAAGCGGCTGGGGATGTAAGCTGGAGGGAGGAGTTAGAAGCTTGCTTTCTCTACTCCAAACATCACCCCTTTCCTTTGCTTGGCTGTAAGGCATTATAGCTTGCGTATTTGTCTTTGCCACTTTAGAACCATAAAATGAGACTATAAGCTATTGCGTTATAGTTTCATAATTACAGGAGGAAAATAGTAAAAATTCTCAAAGGTAAATTACTTTAATAAGGAAGGGATGAGAAATATTATAAACAGAAATGAGAAAACAGAGATTTAATTAATTCTTGGTAACCATCCTCTGCCCAAGTAGCCGCTGGCATTTGCAAAATTTATTGTTCACCTCTGTAGTATAGGCACCACTGAGAAGACTTAGGGAGCTGAATGAATTGTAAGTCTTTGCCAACCTTTTATTTCTATGGTCTTTATTGAAAGAATAACAGTGGGTGAATTTGCATGGTACACCTCTGGATCTCTGAAGACAGTAACACATGCCTTTTAAAAGGGAGGTGTATTCGAATAATTAGATATTTTTTCCCTAAATAAGGAGGTGGTTCTCTCAGTCAGGTCATTAGGTAAATGTTGAACCAAATATTTTCATTAGCAGATATACTCAACAGGACAGAGTCTAGCAAGTTGATACCGCCCAGCCCATCAAGTAATACTTTATCTCCAACATTGTTTTTTCCTTCATGTGAATGTATACAGGAAAATCTAGAGGTTTTTCATCAATATTTAGGTATGGCCTATTGCATTGAAAATGTTTTTCCACATTGCATTTACAGTCAAGAGAGCACTTTTTAAAATATGAGAACATTTGTTATATAAGACACACTTATGTAAAATGAAATGCCTACCTTATTTATTCTAGAGACTATGATCCTTTAGGCTTTTAAAAAAACGAATCCACCAACTGAAAGATTACTTCATTTTTTTTTAAAGCAACACAACCAGCCAGCCAAACAAAATCAGAATCTCTTTCCCTCCTGGGAATGTCTGGGAATAATTAGCTCACTTTATGTGTTATGTTATTTGAGGAGAGTTTTACCAGACTTTTTTTTCTAGTCATATCTTTTAGACACATAATCTACTTGCTCCCTGTCTATCCCCAATTACCACGTGAAAATTATAAAATAAAATTACGGCTCACAGAAATCAGTTAATAATGTTCCACTTGTTTTTATATTTACTGAATGTGTGTTAACTCACCCTCTGGATCTCGCGCGTGTATCTGCCCTCAGTACAGTATCTATTTGCATGCGCCTCTTTGTAGTTTGCGAATATACAGGATTGATTTAGAGTCAAGTAGAGGAAACGAAAATCCACACTACGAAAGCGGGACCAACCCTAGGAAAATGCAGGGGGAAATGAAAAGCTCTGTGATAAAGAGATTCAGAGATCTTTCAATCCCTAGGTTTTTAGAATGTTGAGAAAAGGGAGGAAGGAAGCCAAGACAGAAGGTAATGGGCTGTCACTATGCCCTTCACACTTACAACCTTCCTAGATCATTGAGAACACGGTCCGAGGCAATTGGGTTAAAACGATATATGTATAAATTTCTTTTTTTACCTCGTTAGCTGGTCAACCCCGGCGGTAAACAACCAAGGCCACCCCTGCCCAGGCAACAGCTCCAAGGGGCAGGCGATGGTTGCCGGCATTGAGCTCCCTGCTGGCGCCTTCTGGCGGGACAGCCAGTGCCAAAGAGCGCCCAGGGAAACAAACACCAATGGGGGACTATACAGATGTCATGGATGCACATGTAGGATCATAATCTGCCCAGAAAGAGGAGAGAAGGAGGGCGACAGGCTGCGGATCCTGGTCCAGGAGCCGCCGCAATGGAGCGGGCGGCAGTGTGCGCGCACAGGTGCCACAGGCCGGTGGCGGGGAGAGCTGTAGAGGCTGCCTCCCGGACTCAGCACTCGCACCAGCGCGCTGAAGCCGCGGCTGCTGCCAAGCTTGGGTAACCCCCAGCCTGAGCCACGAGAGGAAGAGCCCAAGGAAAGGGCGCGAAGGGGGAAGGAGGGTAGGGTAGAAGGAGGGCGGGGGAGAGACCCATCGCCTCATCTTACATTTCCCCTCCCAAGCTCATTTAGTGGGAACCTCTGCTGGGCTCCTGCGCGCCTCCCTCCCCACCCCCTCAACTCTGGGCGACCATCTCCCCCTCTTCCCTTGCTCACCCCCCACCCTTCCTGCTCTTCCGTCCCTCCCTACCGCGTGCCTCCTCCCCTCCCCCTCGCCTCCCTCCCCTCCAGCGGCAGTAGCTGTAGCAGCTTCAGCGAAGCCGGAGATGGGCAGAGAGCGCGCGCGGCGCAGCAGCTCCAGATTCACTGCTCTCCCCTGCAGCTCCCCGCGCCCCCGCCGCTGTCGCTGCCTCGGTGTCCCCCAGCCCCAGTCGCGCTCTTAGGACAGCGCCGCCACCGCCGCCTGGCCCTGCCTGCCTCCTGCGCCGCGCAGCCCTCGCGAGCGCCCCGGATGGCGCTTTACCCCTAGGACCGGTGAGTAGGCGGGAGAGTGCAGGGGGTCGGGCGTCAAAGCTTGGCGCGGAGAGAACATCTTTTGGTTTGGGAGGCACCCCAAACCAGCTGCTGTGATTCCCCGTCCTCCAGGCAGAGGGTCCAGGGAGGGTGTTGCTCTGTGGTCCCCAAGGGGATGTTTGATTTCAACTCCACCTGCTGGCAACCTGAACCCCTCTCCGTCTTGGGGACAGCTGCCTGCAGCTCGCAGTCCCGCCTCACCTTCCAGCCCCCAGGCTCCCACACTAGCAGCAGTAGATGGCCCCGACCCTCTGGTCACCCCAAACAGGGTCATCTCTACTGTTACTGTCCCTGCGTTCCCACCTTATGCCAGTGCACAAACGCCCCTATCTGCCACCCTTCACCCGATCTCGCGCTGACAAAGCCTTCTCCACAAAGTCCTCCCTGACCCACCTTCTCTCCTTTCCCAAAGCCTGGCTCTCGAGCCCGACTGTCCCGTCCTATTCCTTCCCAGGGTGAATGGTCCTTAGTGAATTCTGACCTCATTCCCTCTACACAATGGTGCCTGTCCAGATTTTCTGACAGTCACCTCAGGAAATTGACACAGACACGCTGTGATCCTGGTTTCTGTACAGTTACTTTGTGTGTTACTCAGCACCTGGGCTGTTAAGGGTATTATCAAGCGTGAAAAAATAAAGACAAAAACCAAACCCTTTGGAAACAAACTTTTTGTTATTGTTGTTTTAAAGCGCAGAACTATTTGCATTGCTTAGGTTTGTTCTGTTCATTGAGAGGCGTCTTAGCTGAGTACAGGAAATACACCTATTTTACCTGTTCCTGCGGAATTGGTCTTACTTCCAGGTTAAGAACGGAGGACTTGCCTAGGTGGTGAATCTCTTTCAGCAACAACACTATCAAAAGCTCAGCAACTCTTGAGGATAAGAAGCTTTTTCTTGAAGGAGATGAGAGTAGCACCAAACTTACCCTTTAAAATCTTCTTTGAAATTGCAATAAGCCAAAGCTCTTATTTTTCTTTAGGTGTAGTGGCTAAAAGAGCGATATAGGAGGATTAGAAAACATTGTACCAAGAAGCTCCTGCACTATTTGGGTGCTTCCAGAGTTGTGTAGTATCTTAGCACCAGACGGTATTGCTGTAGAAGTTTTCTTAGAACAGTAGTCGTTTCTTCTGAAACCATGTTTACCGTTTTATTATTTCTAGTTGGAGTGCGAGAAAATAAAGAGTTGTGTTCGATGAATGAATATGAGCAAGGGGGATGGAGTGAACATCGGGAGGGGTCATTTAAATAATAAAATTTGTGCTCTCAATTTCTCATGTATTGAAATCTTAAAAACAAAACTACCCCACAAAATTTATGGTTTAATATTTTAGAGAAATGATGAAAAGGCATTCATTTCAACATGGCATTGTACTCCATGGAACCCTTGGTCACAGGGCTTGTGTTCTAAGCAATACGGATAAGAATATCCAGAAATAAATGTTAGGAACTTTAAAAGGTGCCCCACTGAGGCATGCAGTGTGTCAATATAAATTTCCTGGTATTATTATCACTATAATTTGAGGGGAATATAAATTAAAGTGCCATTCTTGCTCTTGCAGTTGGTGGAGAGAGATGTATGCTTCATCACCTTAAAGGAGCAAGTCTCAGGCTACATAAGAAATAGGAAGGGAAAGTTGAGCCATCATCTAGGGAATTTGTTAGTTAATATTGCCTTAATACCTTCTCCAATGTCAGGAATTTTTGTTGGTTTGTTTTCATTCAAACTGTATCTGAGATTTTATTTCCCTTTTGTGTAAGACATAGGCAGAAATGCACTGAGCAAGTCCACTGACAAGGGGTGGTTTTAAGTAAATGTGGATAGCCGCATTAAAAGTCAAGAGGGGCTGTGAATAATGAGTTTATTGTTGGTTTTCTAAATTTGAAAATTTTAGTTGGTTATATTTAGGGCTTGACTGAGAACATTCAAAGCTGTTCTCATTTGGGTAACATTAGGGTGACTACTATGCACAGTATATCCAACAGTAATTAATCTGTATCAGAATCGATACATCCCAAATTGAAAGCAAGGAGTAATACTTTGATCAGTTATTGCCCATAATTATGTTAATGATAAATTAAAGTCAATGTATTCTAATATAATTCCAATTAACATGAAAATATTAACAAGGTCTCAGAATTATCTATGAGAATCCAAATAACTAGTCTGCCAAAAATTTTGGCAAGAATTTCTATAAAGAATTATGGTGAGCTGAAAGTCAAGAAGATCTGCCAGGATTTAATGTCATTGGCATTAGTAAGAAAGGCTAAACAGTTAAATATAATGTATGGGGAGGTAAGGCACACCAATATTGGAATGGCATATCTTTGAGTACCATTGAACTGTATCTTATAATGCTCATAATTATATGCCACCTAGAGGATGACGGGTTTAAGTATTTGCAATGTTAAATATAAATTAAACATTATAAAGAGATATTTAAAATTATGGAAATTATATAGATTATTCCATCAACAAGTTGCCATTGGTTGAATGTTCCATGTGAAACCATGTTTTGCCTTGTGTGTGATGAAGAGAAAGAATGGTTAAGGAAGAGAAAGCTGCAGGAAGGGAGAGATAGAGAGAAAGGCTTCAACCCCTTGGAGACTGGCTTAAATTCTTTAATCAAATTAAGGTAACTAAATATGAGTTCTATTATTTTGGTATTTAGTTACCTTATTTGATTCTTTAATCAAATAAGGTAACTAAATAAAAGTTCTATTATTTGGTATTATTTTGGTATTTGGAATAGCAATTGTTTTCCCACTTGAATTTTAGGATATGACTCCTTAATTATAGCAATAATAATACAAGTTTTTTAAAATAAAGCCTTTTATTCCTTTTATTTAGTAAAATCTGAGCATCAGAGGCAAACCATTTTGTGTAATCCAATTGATGAATTGAACTAAATAAAATTCTAGACAAATTTACAAAAATACCTTAAAAAAAGCACACATATTTACACCTCACACATACCTAAAATTATAATAATAGATAAAGAGCTAAACAATTTAGTGTCTTATGAAGGCAAGAGGATTCAGTCAAGAGATAACCACATACAATATTTTTATACTCTAATATATATTTCTTGTATTTTCTTTTTCATTGCGGTGGATGTATTATTACGTTTTTATAAGTATTTGCATTTTTATTTATAAATTCATGTCTCTATATTATAAAATGCAAATTTTATAAATTCAAATAACCCCCAAATTACACTTGTAAGTATCAAATTATTACAAAAATGTTCATAATTTTGCTTTCTATCTTGCATTCAGGAGGGAGTATTTAGCAGAACGCATTCTTAGGAGCAAATATGTAAAATGAATATTTCAAAATAAGCATGATGATTCAACCAAAGTTTTACAACAATGCTATAAAGTGATACTCTCATAAACTCTAATGTACAATTAAAATTCCTAACAGAAACATTTAAATTCTGTGATTTTTACCTGTGACTGATTGTGTAAAATTCAATTTTATTAATTTAGCTGCAAATGGAATGCTCGGCATTCTTAATAGAAAGATTCACGGAATTCAGATGTTGATTAGAAATATAGAGAACATTCCATTTCTGTTACTCTACTAATGACTTGCTCAAAGTTTCAAAGTAGTTAATAGAAACAGAATTCAAATCCTGTTCTCCTGATTCCATGCTGTATTTGTCTTTCTATAAAATAAAAACATTTTCCACTTCTTTTATTTTAAGATGTTAATAAAGGAGAAGTCAGTATTAATGTTAAAGAAATCTGAAAATAAAATGAAATAAAAGGTCTGTGCTTCTTCAAGGACCATCTCAATGCCTAGACTTCTAACACACCATAGTTAAAGGTAATCAGTCAACCAGACTTTTTCATTCACTCCCACCTTCAGGTTAAAGCTTGGGAAATATTCAAAAATTAAACTGCAACTAGCCCACCTAAAAATCTTTTAACATTTTTGCATAATTTTTATTAGAAATTCCTCACTTATGCAGTGTAAGGTTTTTCATGTTAATAGCATGTCATGGACACTTCCATATAAGCTTTTATAGACAATTGACTGAAAAATATTCCTAAAATAACAGATTTTAGTTTCTGTAAGCAAAATGCACTTACAGTTTCATCTCCATGCTGATTCAATATTTATGTCATCACAGAGAAGGTTTCGTATCCATATGTTTATTTATTTTTAAATTTTTACCTCCATAGACTGTGAATAACTCAGGTGGTCAGGGAAGGTAAATTTGTTTCACAAAGTTTCAAGCCCACAGATGAAAATCCTGGCACTTTTAGCTTTCTCTTCACTGATAGCCAGAGGGATCAATGGAAGTGAATGACTAAATCAATAGGAAACCATCATCATTACTGCGTAAAAAAATAAGCTCTAAACTGTATTCTTGGTTATGGTGGCTCATCACCATCATTTCATCTAGGAAGAATAACATGGTGACATATTTTGATATCTCCATTACATTTTCTGGAACAACACTATATTATCTAAACGTGCTTGGACTGATGTAAACTAGGGGAACCAGTGATCTTGCACTGCTGGGTGGCTGATTCAAAAGCTGAGGCATTGATCTTAGGCATTGGTCTTCTTATAGCACATCAAGATGCAAATTTGGATGAGAGGAAAACTACACTTCTAAGGCTCCCCTGACATAGTTTCTTTGGAGTGCAATTCAGCCTCTCTTTATTGAGGGCCTATGGGGCAAGAACTGAAGTGATGATGGCAGGCACAAGAGTAAGTATGATTTAAGCTCTGACCTCAAGCAGCTTAGAGTTTAAGTGGAGAAGCCAGTAAGAACAAATAGAAAGGAGTGATGAGACACCAGCTGCTTTAACCTAGGGATGTCACCTTGGTATTAAACAAGGGTGTCCAGGAAAAACTCAAAAAGACCAAAAAAGAAAATCTGTTTTGTGTAACATGGATCTAGGCATGCTGTGGCTAAGGCTTGACAACAAAAATTATTTAGTTCCTTAAAAAAAGCAAGTTTCCATTGCTTTCTATACTAATTTTAACTCTGACAGAGTTTTTTGTTGTTGTTGTTGTTGTTTTGTTTTTTTTGGACAATGCAGGAACCTATTAGTAGTATGAACACAGGTAGTCCCAAACTAACAAATTCAGTGGTTGATTCAGTCCTTGGAGGTCATAGGGTAATCTTTTAATGGAAATGTAACTAAGTATATACTTTTAAAGTAAGTAGGAAATGCTTACCTTTTAAGAAACTTAAATCTTCAAGGAATATTCACAGAGAAGTACAAGCGGAGGATGCAGGGAAGGAGGTTATGAACAATATGTGTAATAGCTATCCTATAATCAAAAGTTTAAAAACCACTTTAGTAAGTTAGACAACCTTAAAAGGTATTTGTAATTATCTATGTTTTATTTACTCTGATGAATGTTTATTGAACAGTTGCAATTCAGTGATAGAAAAGGAAGATGACATATAGTTGGGATGATAAAATATAGACTCATTAAGTAATTTGGGAGAAGTATATGGCAGCATTTAAATAATACGTATTACATGTCATCTGACCTAGAACACGGACTGGACAATTACTTTTATAGCCAGGTAAAGTTTATAATATATATGTTATTGAAAAAAATAATGGCTCCAAACAGCTTCTGAAGGTACCTGAATTATACTATAGTAGGAATAGCTTACGCCCATGAAGGATCTGGTTAATTTATGTTCAATATTGGTTTACCAAGAGAAAAAAATAAGGTCTTCAATTTTTACATGAGAGGGAAAAATATACCTCCTAACTTGTTGACTGTTTTATGAATACTTTACAACTTTATGTTTTCATGACATTCGTTGTGTGAAGAAAGTGTCTGAGTTACATGGGTAATATGATTAGAGAGCTTCAAGGAAAAATGGGGAAATCTTTGACATGAGATGAGCTACAAGACATAGGTGTTAGTGATAACGATGTTTCACTGCCCTGACCTGTAGAGAGCCAACTGAGCTATTTCACTAGTCAATTCCTGCTGACTTTCAAGGGTCCTAAAAGGTCTGAGACTAATTTAACCCACTAAGTTAAGTATGAGTGACTGGTTGTACTCCTTGTTTTGAAGAGGCTGCATGAAGGCAGTCAATCCAACTTGTCCTATTTGTCTTCACCAACAGCTTAATTGTGTTTGTCTGTCTGCACTGAATGGTTAAGCAAGAGTTACAGAAATGGGAGTGGGAAAGACATCTGGAGGTGTTGACAGGTATTGCATGGGAAATGCAGAAACTGAGACCATCTCCTGATATTTCCAGTAGTTTTTTTGCTTTTGTTAAGGTGAATATAGATCAAATCATGGTCAGAGCTTTCTGGTGTGGGATGGCAGATCTGGCAGAGAGTTAAATTTAAGGCACTTGCAACAGTTGAATGAGCCACTTTTTCATGTAAAGGTGAGATGGCACTGGAGAGCTGGGCAAGCTACAAGCTGGAATATACTCTTTCTATTTTATAAGCGAGGTTCATAGGACCCCTTTTTACCTTTGTTCGTCATTGAATCTGAGTTGGTACACCCCAAAATGAAATAGTATGCCAGACAGTCATAAGGTCTTCAGGATCAGGAGTTCAGTTTTGACAAGAGCCCAGTAGCAAGCTAATAGCTGCTTTTCAAATGAGGTGTACCTGGTACGTGTATATCCTGTATGTTAAGGAGGTGATCTGTCCAAAATCCCAAAGGGCTCCTGTGAATGGAAGCTGCTTACGTTTTCCTGGGGCTCCAATTAGAAAAATCATTAGTCACAGAAACTGGTAGCTCACAGGTTAATTAGGGATGTGGGACCCCAAATATAGAGAGAAGGCCACAGCCTACTAACACAGTGTGTTGGTTTCTGCTTCATTCAAAAGATGCTGATATTTTGGACCAGCTAATATAGAAGTCCAAGTAGAATTTCCAAGTGAGGAACACACCATCTCCAATGCCCAAATGTCCCAATAAGGTGCTGAACATTGTTTTTGTTTGTTGGGGATGAAGAGACAGCAGTTTTTCTTTGACTACCAGAAGGATTAAACATTGTGAATCTGCTCATTTAGTCCCAAGAAACTTTATTTGACAATCAGAACCCTGAATTTTGTCAGAATTTATCAGCTGCCGTGGTTGATAGAAGTGTGATAACACCACAGTCAATTTCCATTGCAATGGAAGCTTCTAACTGGCTGATTAACAGGACATCATCTGTATAGTGAAAGCTTTGCACCATGGAGAGTAGGGACACTTATGCTGACTTATGTACTACTGATGGCAAATGGCAGAGGAATGTTGGTACCCCTGGGAGTAACCTGTAGTAATGTGGGAGGTTACTACAAATGTATATTGGTGGCTATGTTGTGACTTGATCTTTGTCCTCAGAAGCCAGTGGTATAGAAAAGCTGGTACTGGCACAGTCCAAGACAGGATACCAAGAGTTTAATCTGTGCAATGGATTCAGTTACATGAATAGTTGGGATTATGGGATTAACAACTTGATTCAGTTGGTGATAATCCATTCCAAGCTTCTAGCTCTCATTACACTGTTTCACTGGTCATACAGTGCTGTTGTATTAAAACACTGCATCTCTTAGCACCCATGTTCCCTTCAAGTCTGTAATCAAGGCTGTGATTTTCTTTCCTCTTTTTCTTCTTATTGTTTTTGTTGGACCATCTGGGAGGAAATAGAGAACAAGACCAGAAAGTGATTTATGTGTCCCTTTAGCACTTCACTACATTTGGCCTTTCCCAATTGTGATAATCTCCCCAGGCACTTAACTGATGATGAAGTATAAGCACTTAATATATTAATTACTATACAATCGGATATAGAAAATACAACAGTACATGGAATTGGCCCAAAGGGCTCCATTCATGAGATGATGTTAACTTGCCTTTCTCACTGTGAACACTGCTTAAACTCCATTAGCTAAATCAGACAATCTTTTCTTTCTATAAATCCAGTTAAAAACATGACTTAGGTGTCCACATCCCAATATCCTAAAAGTCTGATTCCCTTATTTTCCTGAAATTCCCCAACATTCTTGGATAGGTGCATATGTCATTTGATACCCATTGGGAATAGAGATACCCTGACTTCTAGTAATATTTCTCTTTAAATAAGCTGAGATTATGGGAGAAGGGGACAGAAGAATCAGAGGGTAAGGGAGGAGAGAGACTTCATATGTATTATCCCAGTTTCAATGATATTGCAGTGGCTCATGGCATAACCAAATTAACTTAGAATATTGTTGTCCAGCCAATACTCTATATTGGGAGCAGGACTCCTGTGGCTGGCACCATCTATTTCATCCTTGGGGATCCTTTGACTCAGTAGCCACAGATACATTGCTGTTTTTCTAGGGTATGGGGTTTGTGACCTCTGGCTGACTCAGTCTTGGCTCACACAATGGTGACTTTAAGGCATCCACCTTAATTTGGGGCATTAGCTGCCGCAATATCTTATATCTCTTAAGTTCTCCCAGTTTCAGCATCAAGGATAGGGAAGTTTCTCTGCACAGTGTTGATAACCTCAAGAATTTACCTAGGTTTCTTTGGGTCTCTTTCTCAATTTTCTAGTGGGTCAATTTTATCAGAATTCTAGACTCAATCCAGGCCATTAAGAGCCCAAATACTAGTCAATGCCTCATCTGTGGTTTTCCACAGGAGTTTTTCTGTCTCAGAAAAATCTCCTCAAGAGGAGTAAAGCTTCCTTATAGCAGCAAAGTCCCACTGCAAAAACCTTTGATAGATTTTCTCATTACTTCCAAGTGGATCTAAGGTTGGCACGAAGGCGAGATTTAGCTGTAAGTCAACACAGCATTTGCCATGATTCCTTGAGAAGCAGTATGATCCATAACCCCCTCCTTTCCATTGTGAGCCAAAATTCTAATGATTCACCTGGTTTCTGGCTACAGATTTCCCTTTTCACACTCAATATATGTACACATTACTCTTTACTATTGTCTGAAAGAGGGTAGAAGCTTCTGCCTACCCAGTGCAAATCTTAGTATTAGTTGTTACAGTGCTGCAGGTCTGAGACTGGACTCGATTCCAGTCTGGAATTCTCAGACAAGGAACTCGTTCCATTTAGAGGAAAATTCTGGCATCTGTATTTTACCTATTTTTGTTATTTAGCTTGCAATGACCTCCTTGATTCCTCCTCATTAAAAGGCAAAGAAGTGAAGGACTGTCTATCGCCCAGTGGCCCATATAATTTGCAAACATCTTTGTTACTGATTCTTACAGACTTCTCTCAAATATTTATCTTCCTGAAATTTTTCAACATTCTTGGATGAGTGTGTATATCCTTTGATACTTATTGGGGATATGGACCCTTAGTTATGTTTCTGTGTAAATAAGCGAGGTCGTGGTACAGGGACAGAGAGGAATCAGAGAGCAGGGAAGGAGAGAGACTTCATATGTACTATAAGTTTCAAGTGATGTGGTGGTGGTTCATGGCATAACCCAATTAACTTGGAATATTTAATAGGCCTGCAGGGCTCTCATCTTTTCTCTTCCAGAAAGCCATGACTTTGTCAGCATCCCATCCTCATCACTAACATTATAAAAATCTCTGAAGGGTCTGAGATTTTTCTCTGCTCACAACTTAACATGAAAGTCTGCCACAGTTGAATGGATGCTGGTAGAAAACAATAGACTCCTAGGTCAGAGATGAAGGACAATTTATTTTTCACAGCAATAGCAGTAGCAAAAATATCAACATTTTGGTCCTGTTCCCTGGGTCCCAATTTCCACAAGGCAACATGAAGTATACACATTACAAACAAAAAGGCCCTCAATTTAAGGAATGTCACCCCTTTATAATGGGCAGTGAACATGCCTCTCTTTGTTCCAGAAGATACTATTTCTATCCAAGGCTGTCTGCTTTACAAACATGTTCTTAAAACAGTTCAAAACAAAAGCAGTCAATGATTCTTTCATAAGATGTGCAAAATGTGAAAGACCCATGGAAAATTGTCTCCCAGTAGTGACAAAAGACTTCAATAAGTGACTGTTTGGATAGGCTTCTTATCTGTGGTATGATATATGTTCATCCTTGCTATTTCCTACTGATGGAATGCATTAAACTTTTGTTATCTGAGATTGATGAACCTTTCACTAAGATAGAAAATAAGAAGGAAGCTTTTGGAACAAATATATTGTATTTAAGCTGCAATATTAGAGTCTAAATTAGTAATTTCTGACTATAATCTATATAGATTACAGCATAGGGCGTGTTAAAGAATTGGGAATTTCTATGTCAGGAAGTAAAAATGTGAGCCTAAACCACAAAATATATTAAGCATATACTTTGTGTAATTATAATGTATTGTAAATCAAAATCATTAAGCAAAAATGTGTTATTACATATTTCCCATGGCCATAATATTTCTCCAATGCTTTATAGTTTGAAGGGTGTCCAAATTTTCCTAAATAATCAAAAGAAAAAGGTGCAATGCTGCTTTAATATGTTTAATTTTTTCAAGACTGAGCATAATTGTCATCTTCTCTAATAGGCATCTCCTATACACTAGGCTTGGACACATGCCTTTCTTTGTATTAACACAATGGCAGGTTTATTTGTACCATTTTATGCCTTTACAACATCATATTGGCCTTATATATTTATGTTTCCCTGACTGGATTACTCTGAAATTAAAACTTGTTGCTTATTACTCTTCGTACTCCTAGTGCCTACCTCCCCAACTGAAGCATGGTGAGTATCCAATAAATGCTAGTAGAGATGAACTGAAAGTAACAGTGTCTGTTAATGTTGAATTTACTTTCAGATATTCCAGACAATTATGTCCCATGATGAATAACTGAATGGAAGATGTATAGCTGAAATAATTTATAAAATTTCTTAATGACCATTGTTTTACTTATAGTCATGTAAATATTCATATCCTGATACTCATTCCCAGTTTTGAGACATCCTGAAACATTTCAAATTTTGCATTTATAGTGAAACTTTAAGATTTTATATCGCTTTTATACTTTTAGACATTGAAGAGAGCCTCACAAAATTAAATGTAAGACTTTGGTTAATTATCAAAAGGTTTGGAGTCACTGATTTATATTATACAGAATTTACTTCTATTCTAACCCTGCATTAGAAATTTCAAAGCATCTCGCCTTTCTTCTTTTTCAAAGAGGTAGACTGAAGATGAATACATGTCCCTTTCTCTGCCCTGATGCACAGATGTTCTTTCTTTATTTCTTTGTCATAGTTTTTTTCTCTCTCTCTTGCGTTCAGATAGATGTCTGCTGCTCATATCTACCTTTGCGGTTTCTGTCACCACCCCACCTAATCATTATTGTTGTTATCGCCAGTGCTGCCAACCCTGAAATCTGGTGTACTTCTCCCCTTCCTCTTTTCTCAAATTTTCCAATTTCTTCTGACTCTTATTGCTTACTCATATTCTAAAAACAACAAAAACATCAACAAAAGGACTGTCTCTAAGGGACAGCTGCCCTTTCCTTCTGTGCAGTGAACTTGAAGGATCAGATAAAGTGATGGGTTCTCTGGCTTTTATTCTTTATTTGTTGGTTATTCAAGGGCTGGCTGTGTCTTCACTTCACTTCAAGGGCTGTATTTTTCTGCTTTTTTTCCAGAGCCATTTTGGAAATTTAAGAATTCTAAATTCTTGGATTTTCATTAGCCAATGTTTTGCTGTTTTCTTCATAAAAAAACAGGTTTTTGTAATTTTTTTGTCCCTACATTGCCTTGTTATTTAATAGCAACATTAACATGTGAATACCTTAGAACTTATAAAATATGTGTGTCATTTCAAGGAATAAAAAGGTTGGAGTGAATCAAACACAAGACAGATATGTTTTTATGGGAAGAATGGAAGGTCAAGAAATGACTGGCTTGCTTGGAGTATGCCAGTGGCAATCTTGTGCAGAAGAAAAGAGGAAGATATCAAACAACAGAAAAACAAAGAAATTCTGTAGAGAGAAGAAGGGGCAAAGTAGAAGTTCTAGAAAAATAGAGACAAATATTTACCTATATTATAATAGGGCTTCATGGAAACACTGCGTTACATGGAAAAAAAAACACAGAGCTGTAACCAGATATAACTGGGTTCAAATTCTTACCTGTTTATTGAGTTAACTGTTCGACTGGTACAAAATCACTGTGGTTTTGGCCAGTATTTTTAATGGCAAAGGAATGCTTAATTAAACATTGAGTAATGTTTAATGTTTTTAATTAAACAAAGACTTAATATCAACTATTTAGCTGAGAGATTAAAGTCAAATTTCTTAGTATATCTGAGACTCTTTTTCCTATTACATAAAAATTTTGCTTAATTATTTTGAATATGGAATTGGATAATATGTAGAAATCTTTGAAACACTGACTGGCACTGTAAATTCTAATTCAATAAATGTTACATCTTCTCCATACTTAAGAATTTAAGAAGACATAATCATTTCAGTTTGTAACAAATAAAATGAGCCTATTTCCCAAATAGACAATTAGCAAGTGACAATTGGATAATCCAATTCGATAATCAGCAACTAGGAGAACTTTGGAACTTTCAGAATATTATATAATAATGCAGGAAGAAGCATATAATGAGCACGGAAGAGCTAATTAGAATCATACTTTCCATGATAATATGAAGTAATCACTTAGAAAAGAAGTTATCTATTTTAATAATTATTCAGTCACAGTGGTATAAAATTTTTTCCACAAGAATTAAAACTCATGAACAGGAGGAGTTCTTCTTTTAACCAGGATGAACAAAACTGGAAAGACTATCAATCCCACCATCACAAAACAAAGCCAGAGGAACTACAAAACCATAACTTTTGTTAAACCTGTTGTAAAACCGAGTTCACCAGGCAAACAAATATCTAGGTTTTCAGGAAATGATAGGTTCCTCCACTGAGAAACGAGTCATGGGGATAGTGTCATATGTGGCAGAGAATAGAATAGGACCTGGCTGTCATACAAGCGATGATAGAAATTATTATTATCTAAATTATCTAACAAGAAATTCTGTAAAAAGCTAAAATCATTACAAATTGCCAAAGACTGACTGACAGTTTAGAAACTCTGGTAATCCCTGACGCAAGGGTAGTTTGATGTCACCCATTGGGGCTTATATGTGGACTTCCACTAGGTACGTATGAGAAATATTGGAAGCAGGGTGGGGACAGGAGGGAGCCTCTTGGTAATACAGGTGCAGAGTAAGGGATTGGCTGCCACTTCAGATAAAGCACAAAATCCCAGTCTATTCAAGCTCGCATCCCACATCCTAAGCACAAGGCTAGAGGAATGTGAAGTCTTTGGCATCCTGAAGATCAACTCTTGACTAGAGTAACTCAATGCCCCAAACGAATGGCTTCAGAATAGCAAAAGTACACTCTGTTTCTAGGTATAAATGATTGGCATCATTCCCAATTATTTTGCACTTGATATTTGACATTTAATTGACAAATTATAAGATATACAAAAATTTAAAGAAAGAAAAACGATTGTCAAAAGAAGTCAAGCAATGAACAAAACCAGACTTAGGGATGATCCAGGAGTTGAAATTATCAAACAGGGACTATGACTAATGTATTAAAGAACCTAATAGGAAAAAGTGGACAATCTGCATGAAAGGATGGAGAATTATGGCATAAAAATTGAAAGAGCAGGAAAGAGCAAAATGAAGGTGAGAAGTGAAAGGAAATATTATCACAGATCACAAATTCTGCAATAAGTGGATAAATTTACCAACAACAATCCCAAATATGGTGCAGCTAAGAACAGAGTTTCAGAATCCAAGAAGCGAAATTGATCAAACTGAAAGGATAAAAAGATAAATCCACAACTATGGGTTTTTCTGATGACCAGAACTCCTCTGTCTGTAGTTGATAGAATGAGTCGAAATCAGTAACTATATAGAAGGCCTGAACAACATCCTCAAACAGTTTGACATAAATGATAATTATAGAATACTCCACCCAATAACAGCAGAACATGGAAGAAAATACTTACAAAATACACATCATAAAGGACTGATATGCAGGATATATAAAGAATTCTCACAATTCAATGATCAAAACCATATAACCCAATAAAACAAGTTGCAAAATATTTGAACAGACATTTTAACAATGGAGATACATGGTAGGCAAAAAAAGTAGTGAAAAGATGTTCAACACTGGTAATTACTAAGAAAATTAAAAAAATTAAAATCAGAGTAAGATATCACTGTAGACCTATTAGAGCAAAATGAAAACAGAACAAACAAACAAAATCATGACCTTACCAAGTCCGAGTGAAAATGTGGAGCAGTTGGAACACTGGTACATTGCTGGAAGGGATGCAAAATAGTACTGCAATTTTGGAAACTGTTTAATAGTTCCTTATAAAGTTAAAAATACAAATATCATATGACCCAGCAATACAATTTCTAGGTATTTACTCAAGTAGAATGAACATGTGTTTCTACATACAAAGTTATAATGAATATTTAAGTGTGAATGAATACCCATACTTGCCAAAAACTAGAAACAACCTAAGTGTCCATCAACTGCTGAATAAGTAACAAACTGGTATATTCATACAATGACATACTACTTAGCAATAAAAAGGATTGAACTACTGCCCAGTGAAAAAATACACTCAAAAGGCTACATGCTGCACAATTACATTTATACAACATTAAAAAAATAAAAACGTAGGAACAGAAAACATATCAGTGGTTTCGAAGGGTTAGGGTGGGAAGTTGAGGCTGATTTTAAAATGACAAGAAGTAAGATTTTGGAGGTGATGGAACTGTGCTATATCTGGATATACACTGGTGGTTTGTAGGCCTTTGTCAAAATTCATAGAACTTGCCACTTTAAAAAGATTAATAATCTGTTTGCAAATCATATTTCAGTAAACCTGATTTTTAAAAAATCATGATTGGAAGAATGAGAGAAGTCCCATTAGGTAGGTCTACATGTTAGGCACTTTCTAACAGTGCCTAGAGATGGTTATTTCACATATTTTTAATTCCTTGCAATTTGAACATTTGAGTGTATGTGTGTAAACAACCTAATTTTGGTAAATAACATTTTGCATTATTCCAAAGTATTGACACACATCTATATTAATGAAATCTTTATTAAATCCAATCATCTTAATCTAAACTTAACCTTGAAGAGTTATTGGGAAAGGATTTTGAGACAGATTAGTAGATAAAAAAAACTATAATTTAGAGAGGTTGCATGGTTTGCTGGTGCTATTAAGCATTGTAGTCAGACTAGTAAACATATACTGGGATAACTTACCTTTAAGTAGAGTTAGGGTGACTGCCCCCCAAGATCACGGCCCAGTGTAGCAAACTGGTCTAGTAAAAGATTATCTGCCCACAACTGGACAGTAATTACTTAACAAATAGTGTATCCTTCAATAGAGCAACAGAATATTTATTCCCTAGCAATTTATAAGGAAGTATACCTTTGACCTGCTCCATCTACTAGTCATCAAAAACTTAGTTATATTGATTAGTACATTTTGAAGAATTGACTATTGCTCTAAGGAAATTGGCCCCAAATTTAAATACTTTACTTCTACTTTTAAGTCTTTTTAAATATATTTTTCCTAGTAATTTATTTCTCAGTATATTTTACAAAATTCTTGATGGAGAAGAATTTTAAAACAAAACTAGTACTTTACTTCAATTGGTTTGAGAAACACTCATTCCCAGGCATTCAAACTAACTAAATAAAAATGACAACTGAAAGATCTGTAGCCAATGTGGCCTATGGCTTTCCAGTTTGCAGTTCTTCCTTTAAATATTCTAAACTTGAGACCTGTGTACCAAGACTGCATTATTCTCACCTTTTGCAGAACTGATGTACCTATGTTATGTTTTCAGTTTACATTGAGCTCTGTGGAACATATTGTTACATTTAAAATAGGACTTTTAAAAAAAATCCAGTTTATTACATAATACAGAGTCCTTTTATGATAATCTACAGGAGAAATGTTTCTCACACTTTGTTTCCCGGAGGAGTCGTACTTATTTTGTTACTGATTTTATTGAATGAGCCTCTTTTTAATGGCTGCTAGGAAGCTCAGTGTCAACTTTCTATCCCTAATGACTATGGAGAGACTATGATATGCCTTTTTAAATTAAGTGACTTAATTTATGAATGTTGTTGTTTAATTTTATGTTTCCAACCTTATTCAGTCAGTAATTTTTTTCGCATAATACATGTTAACTTTTAATAAAGTAAAGGACACTAGAAAGAAAGACAAGTAGTAAGGAAAGAAAAGAAAGGAAGGATTACTCAAATATGCTTGTATACTACATATTAAATATCTGAGTAACTCTAGAGTACATTACTTCTTTAAATTTTACTCTCCTAGATACCTAGTTGAAAAATATTCTTTGAAAATATAACTTTGAAAATTTTAATGTTAAGAATACCTGCAGTAGGGGGAAATTTAATACTATTGTCTTTACGTGAAAGTAGGCAGTAAAATTCACCCATATTTCCTTTTCAGAACTCCCTGTTCTTAACCAGGTTATGTAAACTGGGAGTCCCTTCATTATTATCTCTATCCATGTGGTCTCACAGTGTTTCAGGCTCCTGATTTAAGCCTGGCCCTGTCTATAGGCAGGCTGTGTAACCAGAGAGATAACAGCATCCTACTGAGATAATATGCTTTTATTCCTAATGGCAACCTGAGGAGTAGAGGAACAGTACGTGTTATTAGAGCAATTGTAAGAAAACTTCAGGCCAGATTTGCATCCTGTTCAACTCGGCATGACGGTTTTTGACGGTTTTTTGATTCCCGGAAAGAAGTTCCTAGGCTGCTAACCAGGAAAACAATCCACGCTATTAAGAACAACTACATGTGGTTTCCAGCTCTCTACAATGAGAGTTGAAATTCTGTATAATTAATTACACCTTATGCAGATAAAAAGAAAGGAAGCGTAAAAGCAAACCACTCTGCTAGTGAAAGTATGAAAAAATATTAAAAGCTTATTTGTTATCAGTAGTTTCATAACCACTGCCAAGCTTTGTTCTAAGATTTTGAATATATTGGATTGACTTTCACTGAATAAAGAGTAATTGTAATACTTTTCAGCTTGTGAGACCTTACATCTAAGTCTCACTGAGAACTTTTTGATCACTAATTAAAGCTGCTAAACAGTTAGTGTACTTCTATTGAATAGAAGCATTTTCATGATTGATGAGACAGAGCCACCATTAAAATGGGGTACAGCAATCCACAGATAGAATAAAATTACTTATAAAGGGAAATGACTCCACATTCAATTGAAACAGCAGGTCCAGAAAACATGTAAGAAACAATTAATTATATAGGCTGAAAATTGTCCAAATCCCTGGAAAACTGTCCAAGGTCAGTTTCCCTTCACCCTAAAATTATTTTCCTGAGGCACATAAAAATTTTATTGACATAGACCAGTTGTATAAATAGCACAGAATATGTTAGACAGCTAATTTTTTCAAACTAAACAATTATATAGACAAGCTGTCTTCTTTCATAAATTTGTCTTCTGATATACCAAAATATAAATATTCATACACACTCAAATTCAAACACATATTTGTTCTTATGTACATACAAATACAAATTAGCAAATATGTAAACACACATACAAATACACTCACACACAAATGCACATATACATATATATGCTTACATATAAATACACACATTCATAAATATATACACAAATACACACACACACATATTCATCCTAAACTTACTTAAACACCCTAAATTAAGAAAAAAACCCTCCAAAATTTAAAAAAAGGCATAAAGACATTTAACTTAGGAAGGGAAACCATAGGACAAACAAGAAGACAGAAAATATAAGCCCTATACAGTGCTGGATAAGCAGGGTCAAACTGACTTCCCATTGGTAGCACTTTTTCAGTATTCTCTTCTTATTTCCATCTTAGTTCTTGATCTTCATATCTTTTGGCTCATTCCTCCAGCACATCACCCTTCTGATGAAGCAGGCACAGAAGCAGAGGCAACCTCTGTACCAACTTGGGAAGAGGTAGAGCTACATCATCATTAGAAGGAGTAGAGGAGCATTTTATCATTATAACTATTACTGAAAGATAATTGCCTATGAGGTTATGGTTAAGCACTGTAACCCTATTACCTACTTATACTGTCCCTGTTTTATTTAGAATTATATCCAATAACCAATATGAAATCAAACTGGCGGAGAAAAAAAAAGCAGAAAAAATAAACAATAAAGCAATACCAAAATGGACCATAAAGTATAATTCATGTAAGGAGCAGTACATGTTCTTACATTATTTTTTAAATTATTGTCTTTATTTAACAATTTCTATTGAACTAGTGTGTAAATATTTCAGTGCAAGATAAATGCCCTAGATTAGGAAATGAATCAATCAGCATGAATCCATTTGAGAAGCAACGGAACAGAATGGTTCTTTATCACACACTTACTACAATAAGGGCAATTTAAATATGTGCTTAGAAGACCACCACCTACATCCTTATACCCTAAATTATGCCTCTCCAGACCCCAAACTTATCCCTGCAAGACCCCAGAGGGCTTGTTTAACAGGTGCAAAGAATGCTACCAAAGTTCTTAACTGGAGGTGAAAAAAGGAAATTAGCCATGATTTCTCTTGTTTTTCAACTTTTAACTTTGTAAGAAAGATCAGTTTTGGAACAATGGCCTATTACAAAGCAGAAGCATGAGAATAGTGGTTTGGGAACTACAAGGTATCAGTTGTTTGGATAAGAGGAGATAAGCAAATGATTTAAATAAGAGAACATAGGCAAATTAGCTACAATTTTCTAAAAGCTCTGATAAAAGAGGGACAAAAAGTCATCAATTCAATTAATTCACTTAAGGTCATGAAGTTACTAAAGAGAAGAAATCTTTATTAGAAAAAATGATATAATTACCTTCTGTAATAGATTATGTCCTCTCCATAAAACCAAAATGCACTATTACACATATGAGGAGAGGGAGGGAGGGAAAGAGGAAATGAGGAAAAAAGAGAGATGAAGAGAGAAGGACAAAGTCAGAGAGAGAGAAGAGATCCTATTTATTCTGGGAGCATTACTGAATTACTATTATTGGTATGACAAAAAAGTGCATAAATGCATTGAAAACAAATTATTTACTCCCCTGTTTCTTTTCTTGGAACAGTAAATGTCACTCTATATTTAGACTTGAATTTCACACTCTTCATCTCATCTTCCTTTGCCACCCATAACCTTATTTTCTCTTATATCTTATTCAATTTCCTTTTATCTCTTAATACATGCATACAACACATTTAATTTCTTCCATTTTTAAGAGGTAAGTTTGGAAATATTGGCCCATAGTTTTGAAGATCAATGTAATATTTACCCAGGAGAACTTCAAAAGATATCTTAATTTTAATATTATAATTAAAATATAATAAAATATTATATTTATTATACTAATATAATATTATATTAAAATATAATATTATATTTATTATACTAATAAATATAATTTATTATACTAATAAATATAACATATTTATTATACTAATATAATATAATATTATAATTAAAATATAATATAATTTATTTATTATACTAATATAATATAATACATATAATATATTATATGTATTATATTAATATAATATATTATGTTTATTATATTAATATAATATAATACATTATGTTTATTATATTAATATAATATAATACATTATGTTTATTATATTAATATAATATAATACATTATGTTTATTATATTAATATAATATAATACATTATGTTTATTATATTAATATAATATAATACATTATGTTTATTATATTAATATAATATAATACATTATGTTTATTATATTAATATAATATAATACAGTATTATAATTAAAATATAATATAATATTTAATAATAATATTATGAAAGTTCTCATCTGCAAAAGAATACTTTTGATTTTAGATTTCTTATATATTTTGAGCCAAAACCTTTATACTTCAGAATCGAGATTCTATATAAATACTAAATAGCTTAATATTTAAAACATAATTTTCATCCAAGATGTTCTTTAAAATAATATTTGAGTTAATTTTGTAAGGTTCTAAGCAGATTTCCATGCTGCAAGAGTAACAAATTATGAAGAGTAAATATATATCTGAAATTTGCTATTATAATTAAATAAAACCAAGAGCAATGTTAATCTGATACATTGAGTCTGTTCATGGTTTGCATAATCGTGATGGTGCAGATGATTATTAGACATAAATGCTAAGTAATTCACATAAATGACTATCAGTAGAATTACTTGGTTAAACTAACTTTTTGGGTTTTGTTTCTTCCCATTTTGTCAGTAGGGCCTTTAGCGGTGGTAACTTCCCCATAACATGTACATTTAATCATGATTGTTATTAACTCAAATATAACATAATGTAAATTGTTTCTTCCTTACAGAACCTTAAGTTTCTTTCACTGGAGAGCTCTTCAGTTCATCCATGAAGCTGAGTCCCAGATTAAAAACCATTGCTGTGGTTTGTCTGTATTTTGGTGTATCAAAGCAGACAAAAGAAAAGGAAAGCACCTCCAATCCATCTTAATAATCATCCCACCTTCCTTTCTGCTTTCATATGACATTTATTTAAACCAAGCTATAGCTGTGCTTCTCAAACCTTACAGTCCATGTGAATCACCTGAAGATATTATTAAAATGCAGATTCTTATTCAATAGATCTGGGTTGGGATGGGAGATTTCTA
This sequence comes from Homo sapiens, assembly GCF_000001405.40. NCBI lineage: Eukaryota > Metazoa > Chordata > Mammalia > Primates > Hominidae > Homo > Homo sapiens. Next base: position 96,036,944 of record NC_000006.12, read on the forward strand.
ACAAACTCTTAAGTAAACTCCTACTCTGGAAACCACACTTTGACAAGCAAGGGTCTGTAAAACTAGAAAGCTAGAGGCCTTTTAGTTCATGGCTCTTAACCAAGAGCCTGCGAATCTCTGGGACATTTATCCACAGGTTTTAGGATTCTATGAGTCCCAAGAAATAAATGCAAAATTTTATATGTATGTGGGTATGGGCATTTTTTTATTTTCTGGAGAGTTAACAGTTATTAGCCTTTGTAAGAGGCTTATGAAGACCTAATTAAAATAAGTGGGTAGTGATTGAATCAGTCCCATTTTTAGATGAGTAAACTAAGGTCTAAGGAAGCTAAATTATCTGCGAGGTTCACAGAGTTTGTTACAAACCTAGGAATTGCATCCAGGTTTCTGGTGCCTAATCCAGGGGCTTTGATTGTACTAGACTGTCTTTCAAACTTTGATTTGAGAGAAATAAGTGTAATAATTCAGTAAATAAATTTAATAATGAAAGAACAAATAAGCAAGTGAACACATTCATGCATATGATCCTTTGAAGAGAAAGCATAAGAATATTTGGCCTGGATTAAAGAAGAAACTGATGGTATTGATATTTAATGACTTTGATATGGATGAAGTTGGGGAACAGCAAATACTGGAAAAAGGGGCAGCAAAAATGGAATTTAAAGATTAACCCTTGAGACTAATCTTTTTCTGGATAAAACTCTGCAAATGCTTAGTCATTAGTCATTAGTGTGAAAAAAAAATTTTTTTGAATGTTAAAAAAGAAAAAAAGACCCTTTTTATCTTCTCTGCAGAGAAATGTACTTATAAACAATATCATATTTTCATTAGCCAATTATACCTAATTGTGAATACAAAATGGCACAAGCACAAGTTCTTAAAATAATTACTGCAGTGATGAGTGAGGTGAATGTGACAGTGATTGATTTGTAATACCAGTGAAATGTGCACAGAAATACTGGCTAAGACTTTAAGCTGGGCTATGATTCTGAAGGTATTAGAAGTTTCCAGACAAGTGAGCTAACTTGAGCCTACTATAGACACCTGAAACATACACCTAATCCCTGCATCTTCACTGCAGGTGTGTGGTGCCTTGAACAGAGAGTGATGCTTCGGAGCGTTGCCACAAGGTCAATGGCTCCTAAGTAAGATGTATAAGATGACAACAGACAACTTCAGGTAAAAGAAATACAAAATATGTAATTACAACACTTTTAGGAAGGCATGAGTTTCCATTTAATTTCCAATTATGGAATCAAATCAGAAGAAGAGTAAAGTTTTCAAAAGAGAGGTTCAGAACGGTTGCACATATTCACCAGAGAGGATCTTCTGTCGTATCTGGGTCAGACGAATTCACTGCAATCTTGGAATCTGAAACATGAGTAATATTAGAAAACTGAGGCCATCTCAGGCTTCTATTAGCAGAACATCTGGCTAACCAAAACAAGCCAAAACCCATTTTTAATTCTTCTTCTTTGCCGTTATGCGTTAAAACTATAAAGTGAATTTGAAAAAGAATGTGGGAGACTATGAGGAAAATATAGGGTAACTTCCTTTAAATTTTTTCTATTATGCTTTTAAAAAATGTTAAGAATTCAGAAGAAATTTGGCATTTCTAGAAAAGCAGTTCTCTTCCAGAATGGTAGCTGGGGAAAAATATGTCCAATATGTTTCCCACCAGCTGCCAGAGATATATTTAAAATGCAAATCTGACTAGGTCCAATCTATTCTTCAACATCCATCAATGACTTTTAATTGATATCAGGATAGTGTTTGAATAGCTTTAAATGGCTTTGAACACTTTCTTAATCTAGTTCTTGTTTATGTCACAAATCTCATTTTTCACTGGTCCCCAGTTTCTACTTTAAGCTTTGGTGATACTGACCTGAATGACCTTCTTTGCACCATCTACATGAAAATGTGGCTCTTCTTTAGCTTATGCTTTCATTCTGCACAGAATATCCTCTTTGGCCTGGTTAATTAACCAAAAACTCAGGTGTCACCTCTTCCAGGAAAACTTCCCCAAACAACCAGCCTGGAATAATCAAGCCTCCCCTCAATGCTTCAATATTTCTACCTTAGCACTTAATGTATTATTCTGAAATTATGTTAGTGAACCTGCCCTTCTTTCTGCATTGAATAATCTCTAAGAGTAGATGCATGACTTTCCTTTTGGTACTTCTATCACTAAGCTTAGTGATGGGCACATAATTTACGCTCAGCAGATGTTTATTCAATTGAACTGAACATCATTCAGTTATATATATGTATACACACACACCCACACACACACGTATATGCCATTAGTGAAAACCAAGCAATGGAGTGCAATTAGTGCCAACTATGTGGAATGCAGGCATGAGACAAGAGAGGAACTTCACAGTCCTCAGAGTATGTTTATGGTGATAAACAACAATCACGTTCGTGCTTACTACCTATACTACCTACTCTCCATTAGCTCCTCACCAATTTATAAAAATGCCTGTAAGTTTCTACTGAGCCTATTATTTTGTCTTCGTTTTACACTGTGCACCCGCTATCTCATTTTTCTTCATTCTGTCTCTTGAACTTGGCAAGTTTTTTCCCACTTCAGGCCTGTGCATGTGATTTTTTTGTGCCTGGATTGCTCTTCATTTATCCAGGTCTCAACTCAAGCATTACCTCCTCCTCACAGGGGCTTCCTCAGTCACCGTATCATAAGTAGCCAAACCCGTACTTTCCTATTATTTATAACATCTGAAAATCTCTCATGTTGCTTATTATCTATCTTCTCTGCTAGCAGTAAGATAGCAGAGGACAGAGACCTTATCTATCTTTTTCTTTACTATGTCTCCTTCATCTACAAGAGTCCAAGCATTTAGCAATGAGCAATAAGTTGTGTAGACGTAATGAAATGAATAAATACTTCCTTTCCATGTGGGGTTTTCTTATAAAGTGTTTCTACAAGACTTTCTTGGCTTAAAATATGTTAGAAGCCCATGTCTCTTGGACTTTAAATTCAAACTATTTTTTTTTCTGTCTCTTTCCTTCTCTTTCTTGCTTGCTTTTTTACTTTCTTTCCTTCTTGTTTCAAGTATTTATTAGGCTCTCATTACATGTTAAGTAGCGATAACTAATTTATCATACCATGTATGTGACCTATGACATTATATAAAATTTTTAAATTTCTGACTTGTTCTGAATATTGAATGCTATATTGTTTGCAGTGATTATAAGTGATTGTCTTTGTTATCCCACTGCCTAACCAAGTGCCAGTGCTTAGTTGTTTAAATGGTCCATCTAGTTGAGAACCATTTAGAAGAACAAAACACATTCTATTTGAGGCACTGAAAATTTCAACTCAGGCCTACAATAAATTCATTTATTTATCCATCAACTCACTAGTGCAGTCATGTGGTCTAAAAAGAGCACTGCTTATTAGCTAGTATTCCACAAGTGAAAAGGCATAAGAGTGCAAAACCATGGTGCATTCCTAGAACTAGCAATCCTCGATATTCTTGGAGAATAAAGCTGGAAGTAGAAAAGGGAATGAAGAAGTAGAAGGTCATGTGACATTCAGAAGGATCAGATCAAAAAACACCTTTCACGACAGGCAATTGAGCCGGCATTTTATTTTGTCGGTGATCCTACTCTGTAGTATCCTGGCAATCAAGTAGAGGGTTGGAGTGACTAAACCCAGATACCACAGTTCAAAGAAAAGAGATGGGGAGAGCAAGAACAGTGCAGTGTGGATAGAGGGGAATCTATGTAAAAAGGTACCTGTTTTGGAGGTAGCATTATTAGAGCTTGAATGATGGAATGTGGGCATTGAAGGCCAAGGAGAAATCTAGGATGAATCCCTGGATTTGGCTTAGTGGTAACATTCACCAAGACACTGGAAGATGGCCAAGTTTGTTGAAGTTGATGTTATAGCAGTTTCTTTGTACTTGGCCTTTTTATCACTTTTATTTGTTTCTACTATTGTTTAAAGGGTTTAATGAGAGGGTGGGAAAGGAAGAGGAATTGATGCACTAGAATTCTCAGATTTGAGCCTACATGTGTCTTTACCTGTGACTGCCCGCCCCCTTTCCTCATCATCAGCTGCCCCATCTCTTATTTGTTCTGCTTTTCTCTAGGCTGGGCCAGTGTCCCTCCCGGTTTATGCCTTTCCCCAGTTTTTCTCTCCTGTGACCCATCTTGCAAAACACGACTTTGTACATGTATTTACACATCAGTGTCTTCCCCATCTAGTAGACTGCCAACTTCTTGAGGACAGGGTTTATGTGTCCACAAAGCAGCCAGCAGAATGCCTGATACACAATAAAATATTTTATATATTGAATTCTTATTTAAGTGTTCTGAAGCTAAGAAATTCAGAGTGATGGATTTTCTATTACTCAAGTTCTTCCCTACTGTGCTTGGTAGAATACATGATTTATAACTTACATGTAAATTTCATAAGCTTTGTGTAAATAATTCAAAATTAAATGTAATCTTTTACTGTTCCCTGAATGTAAACAGACATCTACTCATATTAAGGTAAATGATTTTATCTATGGATTTCCTTCCAACATCCCATTTCTATGCAGGAAAATAATGACAGTCTTTTAGAGCTACTGGCAGTGTGGTATGGAGAAATTTTACAAAACCAGCTGACTGCCCTTTAACTGGCCCTGAAATGGACTTGTGAGGTGATACATTTAGCTGTTCTGGACACTAGTTTTTCCTTCATAAAAGCATATGTCTAAGGGCATTTCCAGCTCCAAAATTCTTTGATCTAAGTGTTTTTATTTTCCCTTGTTGAATTTCTATTTAGGACATTAAACAATCTGTTGATATATCTACAGTCACCATTTCTGCCTCCTGTTAATCCCGATGAGTCTCCTCTTGTTACGGCCTAAACCTTTTATGGAAAAATATTATTGAAGGGTAGTGTTTTTTCTGTTATTGTTCTAATACAGAAATAAGAGAATTACAATTATTATTTGTAGTAAGTTATGTAGTCAGCACATTTTTGTTCTCTCTCATGTTTTTGCAACTAATGATGCTTTTCTCCTGAACTTTATCATCAAATTGTACCAATGTTATTTTCAAGTACTTGCCTCTGGAATAGAAACCATCCTATAACTTTCAGTTATTTCCAGACTCTCTGCTCAGTTCACTCCCCCACCATCCCGACATCCCTAGGTTCATCCTGGTCAGGTCAGTGAGAACTGGATGCCAAGCTGTGCCTGCAGTCACCAGAGCCTCCCACAGCCTCTGGGCAGGCATGGTTATGTCTATAGGGGCATCATCACAACCAGCAACTATGGACATGGAGGCAAGTATCAGAAACCCTAACCTTAAATATAACTAAGGGAATTCCCAGATAAGTGTTAGAAACAATGTCTGCATCTTGTTGCTTCGTATTTTAACTATTGTTTTTTCTTGGTGAACAAGTAGCAGATAGTTTTCCAGTTTTTCAATTTTATTATTAAAAATTTAAAACACATGGAGAATTTAAAAGAATTTAAAATGTGCCCACTACCTAAATTCTGTAACTACCATTATATTACATTTGTTCTGTGCTGGAATATACATCTAATTATTCCTGTAAATTCGTTTATTATGCATAGTAAATTGCAGTACACTTCCCCTGTATACTCCAGCATGCATATTATAAACTAGAGATCAATATTTTACAGCTGTTTTTTTTAGTTATTTAATGTAGACTTGAAAGATGGATATTCTAGAGATGAATCAAATCTTAGATACAATGAAGCCCCAAACCCTCCTTTTTTGGTCTTGTATTAGCCCGTTGGGTTTAAGTGTATTAGTCCATTGAGTTTTATAGATGTATTAACCCATTGAATTCTCACAACACCTCTGTGAGATACTTCCCATTATTCTGTTCATTTCACACATAAGAAAATTAGAGTTTAGAGCAGGTAATTATTAAGACTTAATTTATTAAGCTTCCTTTGTGCCGATAAACTATGTACTTAGCATTTAAAAGCTTCTATAATGGTGGTTATCTGCCATCAGTCTCTGGACCAATGGGTTTCTTGACTAAATTTTTATGAGTGTGGCAAAATAAAATACATTTTACCTGTGGTGAGTATTACATAAATTTAGATTTGATCAATTCACAAGATTGTCGTTTATTCTTTTTTTTGGTCTCACTCTGTCGCCCAGGCTGGAGTGCGGTGGCGCGATCTCGGCTCACTGCAAGCTCCGCCTCCCGGGTTCATGCCATTCTCCTGCCTCAGCCTCCCGAGTAGCTGGGACTACAGGCGCCCACCACCACGCCCGGCTAATTTTTTGTATTTTTAGTAGAGACGGGGTTTCACCGTGTTAGCCAGGATGGTCTTGATCTCCTGACCTCGTGATCCTCTCGCCTCGGGTCCCAAAGTGCTGGGATTACAGGCGTGAGCCACCGCGCCCAGACGATTGTTGTTTATTCTAAGGGTATAACTGTTATACATTATTTGATGTCAAATGACATTGTTTTTGTTAAGTTATAGTTACAATAGATGGCAGTCATACTTATTTGTTTGGTTGGTTGGTTGTGTTTGTTTTACTGCTCTTACTGGGAAAATGCCAATATTATTTTATTTGAACATTTTCTGTCTATAAAATCCCCAAATCTGAGAACTGTTGATTTATACTAGAAGTACATTATTAAGTGTCTTACACATTTAACTTCTCATTGAAGAAAATTAACAAAATTATAATTATTAGTTATTCAAGAGCACAATTGTTGTGAATGATTAATCTTCTTTGAATAGCATATTATTTTTTAATAGTTGGAAAGAATGCTCCCACAGGGGCTTTTTGTAATCTCGAAGGACGTAAGTCAGACCATCTCCAAGGTGCCTCCTCTGACACTTGACTCTCTTATATTCATATAAGTCATAGGAAAATCAATATCAGTAAAATAATAATCTTTTAAAAACCAACACATTGCTATCTGATCAGATCAAATCTGATCAACAGTTGCTAGTCTTTACAAGTTCAGGTTTCAGCCACCTTGAACCATCTTGTGGCCTTTGACTTTATTTGATTTTGTTGGCCTTAGCATCACTTTGGCTCAGGGTCACACTTTCAAAAGTAATGCTTGATTTAAAATATATGTAACAGTAACTGTATTTACATGTGTATTTGGGTAAGTGGTTGCGAGTGAGATGAAAGAACAAAAATACCATAGGCATTATAACTGACAAAATTTTTGTACATGTCCCACATTCAAAAAAATTAATACATATGTGTACAAATGAAAGCCTTTATTCTGGGTGATTTTTCCATTACCTATAATTTGCCTCTAAATTGAAAGAGTGATTCCTTGAGCAAAGATAGCATGACCTAAATAATTGTCCTTAAACCTGACTGTGATTCTTCATTGAAATTTCAGAATTTAATCATTTAACTTTTGTTGGCACAAAGAGACAGAACTAAATAGCAAACCCATTTGCATTTACAATTGCTCAGATTTGAGGGGAAATATTCCAAAAATCCATATCCTTTGAAAAGCTCTGCCATGCCTGATAAACTAAAGTAAACACAAAACATACAAATAAACAAATTGTATTTTCTAGCAGTGCTGCTGAATCAAATATGTAACTTATTTTCTTCTTATATTATTTGATATCTGTATTGACACAGAATCTCCAAACCAGCAAACCAGTAATAATTGAAACTCTTAGACTAGAAACTGGAATCTTGATCCACAGTTTATTCTGTGCTTTTTTTTCCCCCTGATTTAAACACAGCTGAAATTACATTATTTAGAGTCACAATCTGTGCTGTCTTCATAATAAAAATTATTTTTTATAAATACTCTTTTTAATTCCCTAATTATCATATTCAATGAGTCATATGAATTTTAAGTAATCTTTTATTATGCTAGGTATGAGAGTACTGTATAAATTAATCATTTTAATTAAGTAATGATGACAGGCTTAGTGTAAGTGAATTTACACTGTTTATTTTAACATTAATTACTGCTGATACATACAGCCTTATATGTTCTACCCATCATATAAATATTTAAAAATGCTTGATATGCCAGGTGACTGATTTCATTTGCTAAAGTTCGATAAAATATGGGGAGTCAATCTAATTTGGGTGACAGTGAAAGGGGTGGAGATTGACCAGGCTCACTGAACAGGAGAATGTCAGGATTTAGGGAGTTAAACATGCCACAGATGAATCCTTCAGCAGGACAAGATGGGCCAAATTGATTGATCTGCCATTATACTGAGGGGGCAAACCAAGAGGTGAGAATTGAAAAGCAAAGGCAAATAATGCTGGATTAAAATGACTGGTGGAAATGTCAGAGCAGGAGCTAAAGAACCAGCAACAATCAGACCAGAAGAAAGAAAAGTGGGTATTAGAGAAAAGCAAGAGCTGAAATAAGCAAGTTGAAGTATAAGGGAATAAGAGAAACTCTGAAAGTGCCAGACAAAATTTGGCCAGACTGTCATATGCTATCCCAGCTAGATTTTGTTTTATGTTGTTCCATGTGCCACATACATCTAGTTTCTGACATTATCATCTAATATAACCATTTTGTTGATTCCTAGATAATTTTCAATGACTCTCTTTATTAAAAATGAATTTTAAACCAGACACTTTAAGTGTTTAAATTACCTAAGTATCCCAAGACTGACAAGTAAGCAGTTGTCATCCAAGATAGCAAATACTATTGAAATTTGACTGGTGAGGCACAAAGCAGAGGAAGTGGGGGAGTAGCCCCTGCATGTGACTGTGTAGTTCCTGTAGAGAAAAGGGTGCTTGGATGGGAAAAGCTGGGGCTGAAACTCAGCTTGAGATGCAAGCCAAGCTTTGTGGCCTGGTCACCCTGGGGAAGTTATCACCATGCTGCAAGACTTCAGAGGAGGCATCTCCTTTCGTAGTTTGCCCATTCCTGGCGGGTACTTTTTTGCAGTTTGCCTAAGGCAGCTTAATGCAGTATGGGTGCCTCGAGGAGGAGGACAGCTAGTTGAACCTCAAAGAGGCCACCCAGGTATAAAATGCACCATGAGGTAGGGTATAATTTTCAGCTTTCCAAATACATCAATCTGAACTTGCTAAAGAAATGAGAGTAAATCAGTAGATTCAGCTTTTGAGCAGCTCACATTCTTTCTTTGTATGTATATATGTGGCTTAAAAGATTCCTTCAGTGTCTTATTTCATGTGGAATAGTATTCAGATCCCTTGATAAGCTCTACAGCAGTGTCTTTCAAAGTTGTTTTTTTTTTTTAACTAGGACCCAAAAGGGGAAATAATGTTTATATACCATGACCCAGTACACAGATATGCACACACACACACACACACACACCCCTGAAGCAATCATTTTATGAAAATTATTTTCTGAACGTATGCAATGCACTTTGATTTTTCTTATTCTTTTCTGTTCTATTTCATTTAAGAAAATTGTTGCATGTCACTGAATTGATTTCAAGGCCAACAAATTGATCACAGACCAATTTGAAAAATATTAACCTACAACTCCATTTAACATGACTCTAAGGTTTTTGGAACTTGTTGCTCCCTCTGCCTTAAACTGTCCATTCAGATATCTCTGCAGGAAAGGCTCCTTCCTTTCTAAGTTTCTACTCAAATGCCATTGCTTCAAAGAAGCTTGGACTTACCACCCATCCTGAAGACCTACACCCTAACTCTATGGACAATGATTTTCTTCACTTATTTGTTAACTTGTGTATTTCATGCCCCTTCCCACATGTGAACATACAAGCTTTGTAAGAGAAGAGAGCCCATCTTCTTCACTGCTGCTCCCCACAAATTCTGGCAACATGGCAAGTGATTAATGAAGATATATGTTTTATCTATCATATATGTACATCTGTTCCAAAATTCCAAAATATTATTTTACAGTGGAAAAGACCATTTTTATTCAATCTGGGAAGTGTTGTCAGCAGATTATTGTGCTTTCCTCTAAAGGAATGCTACATTTGAAAAAATTATCAGAGTGACAGAAATTAATCATGTATTTTGAGTTTAGTGGCAACCAAAAGAACATCTCCTTAATAATGCAATACACCCTAGTGACTAGAAAACTTTATCTCTGAAACTGTACACTTTCTCCTTTCTACCATGCTTAAATGGCAAATCCAAGCTCTATTTGGTCTTCACTTTTCATTAAACAGAGCAGAACCCAAGTTTTATATGACCTGAAGCTCATATGGTTTGGAGCCCCATTGAAGAATAGGAAATTACAAATACAACATGTCCTCACAGTGTCACCGAATGGAAATGAAAATGTTATGGAGAAATGGTAAGAACCAGTAGTGTTATCCAATTATAGTAGAAATGCCTCAGTTATGCAAATTTTATAAGTATGTGTGACCCTCTCAGGCCTCTCTCAGAAGCCACGAAAATAGCTATATTTAAGCTTCATTGGCTTCACAGGACATTTGCCTCTGCTTCTAGGTATACATTTAGTTACAAAATAGTTTTCTTTTTCCTGAAATAAAGTACAATTGTTACAATTTCTGTTTTCTGAGTTGCAATCTTATTTCTTTCTTCTTGAGATTGCTAACAAATTACTTCAATAAGAACTGTGGATATTTCACAAATCTTACTTCATACACTTAAAAACCAAAATTTTGGTTTTGTTCCTGAGATAGTTAATTACATTCATTGTATATGTACTTTGTGATTTTAGTTTCAGAAAGGAAATGCATTTCTCAATTACAGATGGCAGGAGCCTCACTCTCCTCCATCCTCCCTGCCTTCCCTACTCTAGCCCCTGACACCACTATAAGAATAAAACAAGGGTTACGATAGAAAAACAAAAACAAACATAGGTAATATGTGAGAAAATATAAGATGACTTAAGACAGGCAACAAGAATTAAGAAAGATTTCCTGAAATCTCTAGGGCATCAGTAGATGATTTGTAGAGGATGTATTAGTTTTCTATTCCTGCTATAACAAATTGCCAGAAACTTGGTAGCTTAAAGCAAGGTAAGCTTATTATCTTACAGTTATCTAAGTCAGAAGTCCAACTCAGGTCTTACTGGGATAAATCAAGATGTTAGCAGAGTTATATCTCTTTCTAGAAGCTTTTGAGGAAAATTTGTTTCCTTGACTTTTCTATCTTCTAGACGCTGCCTGCATTCTTTGGCTCATGGTTCTTCCTCCATTTTTCAAAGTCAGCAAGTTTCATTGCCCTGACCCTTCTTCTATAGATACGTTCCTCTGACCACAGCAAGTAAAGGGTCTCTATTTTTAGAGACCCATGTGATTATATTGGGCCCTCCAGAAAATCCAGGATATCACTTGATCTTAAGGTTTTTAACTTAATCATATCTGCAAAGTCTCTTTAGCCATATAAGGTAACATATTCACAGCTTTCAGGGATTCCCACCCAGACATCTTCTGGGGGATGGGGAGGTTCATTCTGCCTGTCAGAGTGGGTAAGTGGAATGATAAGTGCTAGGGAGATAAATTTGATGAAAATGAGCAGTAACATTGGAAATCATTACATGCCTACCACTGTTACTCAATGGGAAGTGTTTGTAGCTTGAGCTTGAGAAGAGAACTTTCCTGTGTAAGATGTAAGGAAGGATTGACAAAGAGAAGCAAGGTTTCCAAATTGGACAAAAGGATAAATGGTACTCCCATTCATGAAGTTGGGGCTAGAAGGAGAGAATAATGGAGAGTGAATTCATATTGTCATATTGATTTAAGTTCCTATGATACTTAATGCTACATCTGGGAGGAGATGAGTGTATTCTCATGGAACGGAAGCGAAGAAAAGAGATCGGCAGTGGATGCTTTGATTAGCATGTGCTCACTGATTCATCAAATGTTCCTGGACACGTCCTAAGTGCCAGTTGTGGGAAATGAGAGGGGGGGAACTGACCAAGTACAATTGGAACTGATTCAAAGTCTGATTTTCCTGAGTGGTGCATCTGCAGTAAAACCAGGTGTGGAAGAGCAGGAATGCTATAGTCAGCTTGTCTGCATTTGAATCCTGATTCTACTACCTTCTACTTGGGTAACCTTCAGGAAATTATTTACTCTCACTGTGCTTCACTCTCCTTTCTTCTGGGATAGTTATAATAATAAAAATGTTTTCTTCATAGTTTTGTTGTGAGTTCCTACATGTAAAATTATTTGAATAGTGCCTGACACATATTAAATAAATACTACTTATAAATATGAAAAGACAAGGGAAAATTATGGAATGGATCCTCTTGAAGTAAGGGTTTGATTGGTCTAAGTCAGAAAGTAATGGATAGGAAGAAGAGGCGGACATAGAGTCATCAAATCATCTCTTCCTTCCAAGGTTGTAGCCTTCTGGGTGCTGTCCTCTGGAATCCTTAGTTCTCAGGCTGCTTTTCTGGAGTCTCTTTCTAAGAATTATGCAAGCTAGCAACATTCAGTCTCCTGGCATGTCAATCATCAAAATGCCAAAACACATGCTGCTCACTGATAAAATTCAGTGTTTAAATAGAAGACTAAAAACATTTATACACAATTTACACATCTCTTTCTAATAAAGGAAGTATATCTTAGTCCTGTCCTTCTTGAGTGGGTAAACAACTCTTTCTTACATCTTCCACATCTCCTATGAGGCCATCCTGTTTCAAAGGCGAGGGCCAAGGTAAACTATCAGAGAGAGGTTTGAAAAGAGGTGGTTGGTTTTAATACTCATCCATTTGTATTAGCATGAGAATAAATGAGAGATCTACCAGACTCCCATGTTGGCCCCAAAATTTACAGCGTCTGGAGTGAGAAATACAAATTGGACAATAGTTTTGACTTTTCCTCCTCTTTAGACTCTGTTTTGCTTATCTTAATTATTTCTTTTGTGTTTTGAGCATCTCTGTTATTTTCATTCACAGAAAAGAGAGAACAAGAAATTTGGAATAATTATAACAAGATGATAATGAAAGGGTGAAGTTCGTGATATATGGGATTAGCTAACGTGGACTAAATAGTTACTATGTGTCAGGCAGCGTAAAATATGCTATCTGTCATTTATTCCTCATAATCATTCTACAGGGCAGATATAATCCTCATCTTAAAAATTAGAAAACTGAAAAATAAAATAACCCACTTTGTAGAAGTGGGTCTACCAGAATTCTCTGCTCACAAGGCATCTCGAAGGCCATGTGCAAACAGGGTTGCAAGGAATGGGTGCCTATGTTCATTTCACATCTCTCCTCTGCTCATATGCATGCTCCATCACCACACTAGATTTCAAAACACACTTTAAAAGATATAGTTATTAAGAATTTCAAGATGGCAGCAGCAGAGTATTTAATGAAGTGTAGGACCCTTCTGAGAGCAGGGACCTGTGTGAATGCACAGGTCACACACCCATCAGTCTGTCTCTGTGTTTACCCCAACCTAATTTGAGTTAAAATTCAATAGTTTAAGATGTTAAAATCACCATTTTAAAAATTTTGAACAGAAATAGGGTTCTGTTTACCATCATTCCATTTAATTAAAAATGCAATGCCTGTTTAGTTTGTAGTTTAGTTTTTCAGTCATGAGCAACTGCTCTCTTCATTATCTAACCCAGTGCTTTTCAAGCGATTCTAACAGAAGAGTTGTTTTCCTCTCAATTCATTACCAACTGATATTTTTGTGAAATACAAAACCACACAGTTGGATATCTTGCTCTTGTCAAATTGCTTTAAAAGTATTTAAATGCCTATCCTCTCTTTCTGAACTAATCTCAATGGGACTTGGAAATAAATAGTTTACATACCACACTTTAAGTAGCATTGATCTCAGAGATATCCTATGATTGCATTTTAATTATACAGATTATTTTTTAATGTTAATCTCAGTAAGAAACTGCTTAGAAAGATTACCTCAGAGTCTTTTAATTCATTTATGGATGATGCAGGGATATGTAGCTGTCAAGTCTCTTTTTCTTTTTCTTTTTACATTACAATGCAGTTTACTTAATTTATTTTGACAACTACTTCTAATTACTTAACGTAACACATTATATGGTAATAAAAACACTTAATAATGTAAGACCTCATTGCTATTTCAGATCAACTGAGTGATGTGTGCATATATTGTCCAGGCATTTGTGGCGTGGATCATGTCTCTCTCTCTCTCTGTGTGTGTGTGTGTGTGTATTGGGGCAATTTCTTCAGATAAATTTTTGGATTCTCCAATGTGAAGAGATTAAATTCCACGTGGAATGTGAAAAAAATGAGTAGTAAATATTGCCAATTCTCAGCTCTGAAAAAAAATGGCTAAACATTATTTTAGGTTACATTATATACTATATATTATACCTAATTTACATACCTGGCCTTTGTGGGGCATGCTTTTATAGGGCACTAGATTATCATGTCTCTTTTTCATTTTTACCCTATGAAATAGTAATAAAGGATTTTTAAAAACTTGATTCTTGATAATATAGATACTGTTACATGACTGACTTGAAATTCTTTTTGAAAACAATAAAATAGGCCAGGCATGGTGGTTTACATCCATAATCTCAGCATTTAGAGGCTGAGGTGAGAGGATTGCTTGAAGCCAAGAGTTCAAAACCAGCTTGGACAACATAGTGAGACCCCAACTCTAAAAAAAAATGAAGAAAATTTGCTGGGCATGGTGGTGTGTGCCTGTGCTCCCAGCTACTCAAGAGACAGAGGTGGGAGGATTGTTTGAGCCCAGGAAGTCAAGATTGCAGTAAGCTGAGATTCTGCCACTGCACTCCAGCCTTGGCAACAGAGCAAGATCCCATCTCTAAAAAAAATTAGTAATAAATAAAACTATAAAATAATAGTAAAATTGGTAAACTGGAAATTTGCAAATCAATATTATATATTAAATATGTGATTAAATACATGATTTGCAAACCAATATTATATATTAAATACATGAGTAAATATAATAAAATATTACATATTAAATACATGATTAAATACAAGGAATCTAATTCCTTGGATTAGAATTCTGGTGGTAAAGAGCAAGCATCCAGACCCACTTGATGTCTCTGAAAAAGGACTGCTGGTTTTCCACAATCTTTGAGAATTGTGGTTGGATTGGGAAGTATATTAGTTCCTTCTTAAGCTGCTATGAAGAAATACCCAAGCCTGGGTCATTTATATAGAAAAGAGGTTTAATTGATTCACAGTTCTGCATGGCTGGGGAGGCCTCAGGAAACTTACAATCATGGTGGAAGGGGAAGCAAGCACATCCTTCTTCACATGATGGAAGGAAGGAGAAGTGCTGAGCAAAAGGGGGAAAACCCCTTATAAAACCATCAGATCTCATGAGAACTCACTCACTATCATGACAAGAGCAGCATGTGGGTAACTGCCCCCAAGACTCAATTACTTCTCACTGAGTCCCTTCCACAACAGGTAGGGATTATGGAAATTATAATTCCAGGTGACATTTGAGTGGTGACACAGTCAAACCATATCAGAAAGTGTTACTAAAAAGAACTGAAATGTCTGGCCAATATTGTCACTCTTTCTTTCCATGATATTTATTCTCTGCTGAGTTCCCTGCATTTTATTCCCTAATTCTTTCACCCCATAGCTTCTTGGAAAATGCATCACAAGGTTCCAAGTATTTAGCAATTTCTGTTATTCATTAAGCACAGTTTATTTTCCTCAACTCCCAATTGATTAAGTCAAGGCAGAAAGAAATAGAAAGTTGGAAAGCCAAATCTCATGTGCTCCCTAACCTGGCCAGGTTGTGGCTCAAAGAAAATAGGATTAGGAAGGAGAACATCAGAGAATTTTCCAATGGAACTAACTTGGCTTCACTACAGATACTCAGATGTCAAGTGCCAGAAAGATGTTGGGGAAATGACTACACTATAATTAAAAGTTTCTAGTTTTTTGGCTATTTTACTAATCAAGATACTTTTTGAAACATTAAGAAAAAAAATCTGAAAAAAAAATTTGTCAACTTTTCTTCATGAAGGTGGTGTGGAGAGAAGAATAGAAGGGAAAGCTTAGAAAGCAAGTAAATATTTAATAAGGTCAAAACATTTAAAATATAAAAATAAAGTCTTGAAAATAATATTGTGTCTTCACCTTACTGTTTTTTTTTGTCTTCATTCAATCACCATCCAGCCATGCACACCACAAAGCCCAATCATCACTGAAAATATACCAAAAGGAAAGTAATTTTAAAATTATTTTTAATGCAAGTACTGAATCAGACTAATTAGCAAACCTTTATCCTGGTCTACTGAGAAAGATGTCAAAATAATTCGTATTTTCATCACAATAAAATTAAATAATTTTATACTTATTCTTCAGGGTTATTTTAGATTTTTAGGATTTTACATGTCTAAGAAGCATTAAAGCAAGGCATTTTTTAGTTCATTTGGTCATTTCACTTACTTTTGTAATTTAGAAACTTTAAATCTATTGTATCCAAAATACTATTAGAACTATGACTACATTAAATGGAAGAAGGAAGTCTTTCTATTTTCAATGAAAAAAAACTCCAACAACTGAACCTGAGCCTGAACCATTCAAACTTAAGAAAATAAATTTATAGGCCTGGTGCAGTGGCTCATGCCTGTAATCCCAGCACTTTGGGAGGCCGAGGCAGGTGGATTATGAGGTCAGGAGATGGAGACCCTCCTGGCTAGCACGGTGAAAACCCGTCTCTACTAAAAATACAAAAAAGTTAGCCGGGCATGGTGGCAAGCACCTATAGTCCCAGCTACTTGGGAGGCTGAGGCAGGAGAATGGTGTGAACCCGGGAGGCGTAGTTTGCAGTGAGCCGAGATCGCACCACTCCACTCCAGCCTGGGCAACAGAGCGAGACTCCATCTCTAAATAAATAAATAAATTTATTAACAAACATATTTAAATAAATAATCATTGCAGCACTGGCCAAAATATCATGTGTTATATGTTTTTTAGCAATTTTGCAAGGTTCTTATGGAAAGCTATTCGGTATTTGCTTGGCTAAACTAGTCAGATAAATTGTATATAATATTTATTTATAGTATTAAATTTTTGGTTTAGGGAAATTGTGAAATTATATTTGTGAACATAATACTATATGAGATATAAAATAAATAAATCAGGTAAATCACACATACTTCTAATTTTTGGATCTGTTTAATCTTGCTAAATAAAGCACAGGATGTCATAAGGTGTTGCAATAGAGTGTTGTTGTGGTGAGTGAGATGACAAGAAAACTAAATCTTCCACTGTTTCAAGGTCAGTTTCATCAAATGACCATATTTCTTAAGGTGTTTTTGGCCCAGGGATTTTGTCCTTTTAAGTCAAGATGAGGGGACAGATCCATTCACTCCTTCAATCAACTCTTCTTTACTAAGTCTTTACTCTGAGCTGGGTATTGTGCCCAGTGCTGGGGTTATAACAAAAATGAAAGAGATAGATATAGGTTGGTCCTTATGGACCATACAGTATGACAGCTGTTTACTGTAGTATTGGGCACTTTTACCCCAAGACCAAGTCCACATGCTAGTGTGTAATGTGAAATATGCTCTATAGAATTCATTTATTCACTCATTCATGTATTTAAGTCAGCAATTTTTGAGTAACTATTATGATCCAAACACTCTGCTAAACCTTTTGACTACAAAGATAAAAGAAAAGAAAAATCCTTCTGCACTTAAAGGATTTACAGTCTAAATAAAAGGGAAACACACATGACCATTAAAATTAAAAACAAAGGATATAAAACATGAATACAATGAATATCATAATGCAATGTAGCAGATAGATTCAAATGTGAAACAATCCAGCATACTTGAAGTTGGAAGTTTAGGCAGAAATATTGATATCAGCACATGGAAGAGCCCTAACCACATATTACCTTATAAACTTGTTTGCAGTCCTAATCCCTTTGTATTTCAGTACTTCATATGTCTGAAAGAGCGAGAAAAAAATAGTGCATATATCACAAGGTTTAAAAGTGAGCATTAAATGTAATAATATAGGTAATGTTCTTATAAGAGTGCCTGACACATATTACATACTAAAGAAATATTAGTGGTCATTTTCATTTTTATCCTTTCTGATTTTGTGTTTGTGATTTCCTTTTCTTCATTAGATTTCCAAGGATTCTTTAAATTAATTTTCATTATATCAATAATTATGCCCCTTGATTTAGTAATGAAATACATTGTTTTATTGGTTATACCAACAAACAGGAAAAATACGAAGATATTGTTTAATATTTCCAAATTCATTAAATTCTGCTCTTATTTAATACTGTATTTTTCCTTCTGATTAATTGATTTATAAATTATGAGTGGTCTGCTTAGTGCATTGATTTTTCATTCTTATTTAATAATGAAAACATTTAATGTTACACATTTGCCTTTGCATATAGCTTTAGTGATGTGATATAATTTTGATGTGCAGCATCCTTCTGCTCAGTAATTTATGAATACATGTGACTATACTTTTAATTTTTATTTGACCCAATAACTAGGATAATAATTTAAATCTCGAGTTAATGGCTGTTTGGGGTTTGTTTTTTTTCTTTACGTTTTTCCTGTTTGAAAACCATTAAGTTAATTTCAAATTTTAGTGTATCTTTGTCAAAGATTATATTTAGTATATGCAATATCTGCTTTGGTAATTTATTTAGATTTTAAAAAAATCTTCTCTTTTTTTCCTTTTTTTTTAACTTTATTGTTCAAGGGTAAATGTGCAGGCTTGTTACCTAGGTAAACATGCATCATGGGGGTTTGTTGTACCGGTTGTTTCTTTATGGTGTGGTCTGTTTTCAGTTACACAGACTATAGATAATTGTTTTTTGTTTTCGTTTTTGTTTTTGTTTTCTATTTCTTTTTCTTTTTTTTTTTTTTTCCTAGAGATAGGGTTCTGCCATGTTGGCCAGGATAGTCTCAAACTCCAGGCCTCAAGTGATCTGCCTGCCTTGGCCTCCCACAGTGCTGGGATTAAAGGTGTGAGCCACTGACCCTGGCCGGACTCTAGACATTTGAAAAGAAATTTACCACTCTATTACATAAAGTTTAGTGTACAGTTATTCTATTTCTAATATAATTTATTATTTGTCTTCTATGTTGAAACAATTTATCAAAATATCAAAATAATATTTGAAGTAGTATATCAAAGTCTTGCATTTTAGTCTTGCATTTGAAGTCTTCTTCTATTTCTATCTAGCTTAAGTTCTACTTTTAAAAAAGAATTTATATTTTAGATATGTTGAGTTTCTGCTGCTACTTGAAGTTTCATGCTTGTTATACCTTCGTTATATATTCTCTTTTTCTGCATAAAATGACAATTTGTATCTAATTTAATGCTTTCTGCCTTGGACTCTATCTTGTCTAAGACTAAAATAATGATCAATATCTGCTTTCAACTTTTCAAATACCCACATATCCTTATTTCCCATTGAGTGGGGTAGAAAAAGACAAATAGAATCTGGTTAGTCTCTATGGCAAAGTCATACATATGAGATCTAGAAACATTTTTCTTTTGCCAAGGGCATTAAAATGGCAGGTGGAGAATCAGTACTACAAACAGGCATATCTGCTTTTAGTTTTCTTTTATTAATTGTTTATGTAACTTATACTAGACTGCTCATGATCAATAAAACATGCAGGAAGTTACAAGACCTTTTTCCATGACTATCACTAATTCAGTCAGGGTATTAGTAGTGAAGAAGAAAACACAATCTCAATATAAGCAAATATACCTAGTATCCAACAAAATAAGCTCTCAGCTGGGTGTGGTGGCATGTGCCTGTAGTCCCAGGTACTTGCGAGGATGAAGCAGGAGGATCGCTTGAGCCCAGGAGTTCGAGTAGGCAGAGCTATGATCGCACCACATCCAGCCCGGATGACAAAGCGAGACTCCATCTTTAAAGGAAAAAATAAAAAAAAAAACCTAAGCTTTTAAAATTAGTCATCTAATGAACCACTGAATACGATAATTATGTCTTACATATTTACAATATACACTCTCTGACTTAACGATGGTCTGACTTGGGATTTTTAAATTTAAGATGGCATAAAGGCACATGCATTCAGTAGAAACCGTACTGCAAGTACCCACACAACAATTTTAGTTTTCACTGTTAGTGTTCAATAACTTACATGAGATATCCAATACTTTATTATAAAATAGGCATTGTGTTAGATGATTTTGCCTACTCTAGGCTAATAAAAGTGTTCTGGCAAAGCAAGCTAGAATGTTTGGTAGGTTAGTTGTTTAAATGCATTTTTAAATCATGACATTTTCAATTTATAAAGGGTTTATTGGGACATAATCCCATCAGAAATTAAGGGACATCTGTATGTAATTCTTAATTGTGGATAATAATAATAAAAGAGAGGTTGGATAGATGAAAACAGCTACATTTCATGTTTTACTATCAACCTTTTATTTTTCTCATGCTTCAATACCTAGAAGAGTGGTAAAATATTGCAGTTTGAGTGTCTACTTCTTTATTTTATATCTAACATTAGGAAGTGCTAAAGTGTGGAAAACCAGACAATTCTGGAATGCAGAGGGAGGAGAGAAAGCTCCAGTAAGCTACATGCTTCAGACATAGGCACTGAATAATAAAGAAACAGAAAGAAATATAGAAACTGAATTGCTAAGGCACTTTTATTGCCACTCCTAAGAAACTCAACATTATCAGCAGTAGTAATGGCCATCATTTATACATGTTGATTTTATAAACTTATTTTTTTTAAAGTTCTAAATTGCTCTCTCTCCACTCCCTAAAGCTGGATTAAAACCTATTGCTTCCAAATGCTGAATTAAGGAAATTCTGTGCCACAATTTTTGCTACAGAAAATTAGTGTGAGCACAGAACGAAGAGCAATCTTATATGCATAGGAGCCTGCTGTTGGAGAAAGCTCAATAAGAGACATCAGGAGGTTTGGCTTCTTTTCAGAGGACTTAGGAAGTTTTGATACCTAAATGATATAACATAAGACTAACTTTTGAAGTAAGTGCTAAAACTATTTATATATACTAGACAATTTTCTCAAGATTTGTCCTTTTTGTCTCTTAGACTCTCACTAAAACTCCGTCATCAAGTTGTAATTCACACATGTAGACAAGCCTTCAGCCTCTCCAAACATTTTTAAAATCTGTAAATTCAAAACATTTAAAAAGAAGACACATGATCTCATCTGGACTGCTGCTTGATCTTGTTTGATATTCTTCAGCACTCTACTTTTTATAACGGGTCAATAGCAGACGGGCGGTAACTGATCTCCTTATTTCAGAGCTGAAAACACAAGGCACTTTGCGTTGGGTGCAGTTCTATTCTGTTATGCTACTCCCGTTTGTCAGTAGGTAAAAACTTTTCCCATTCCCCAGAAGGCAGTACTTCTATGAATAGTTGCTTTAGACAAGCATTCATTGTTCAAAGGGTTTGATTCCTCACTGAGCAAAAGCTACAGCATTATAAAGATGCCAGTTGAAATTTTTTTAAGCTTGAATTTTTTAAAGCTAGAAAGGAACCCTCACTGTTGGGGAAGTCATGAAAGAAAACCCCTTTTCACAAGCCCTGGAACAAGTGGATTAAGAGAGTAAGAGTAAAAGTGCAAAGACTGGGAACCTGGCTTTATTCCAAAAAAAAAAAAAAAAAAGCCAGAAAAAAGCCACAGTTAGAAGTAATTGAACACTTTGGAAATCCCTTTGAAGACCTAATGCAGTAGAATTTTTTGAAATGAATAAAAGCTAAATGCATAATAATTTCAGGTAAAAAAATACAAACGAATGTTTGAAGAACCAAATAATAAATTTATAAATGTTTAACGCAGCGGGACCTAGCAGTACCAACCTTTGATAATGTATGGTAAGCATTAGCAATGTTGTTACTTGGAAAAGACAAATTAAAAACCTGGCAATCTTACCTCATGTTGTTTTGTACTTTGTATACTTGGCTTGGTTTATAGTGATGATATTATCTGTACTGATTATACTTGTTCAGTAGAATTTTGTACACTTGCAAATGGAATTTTTAGACACAAGAAACAAGGTACAAAAATTGCCTAACTACAAAAATTTCTCCCTCTTTTATATTGGGACTAATGATATGTTAAACAATCTGATGTATCACTTTAGAAAAACAGTAATGGCAGTTGCATTTGCCAGGAAAATGTTACAATAGATTTTAGCTCTCTTAATAGAACATAAAATATTAGTTTTTAATATCTTGCTATATGTGGTGTTTTTAAATAAAAAGGCATAGAAATCATTGATATTTGAAGAATGTTGATATAAAATAATCTGTGTGGAGGATAATGTAGGTTGTGAACTAAAACGGAAAAAGCCCCAAGAGTGTATATCACACTAAAGAAGAGTGTATTTTCTGCTAAATGGAGTATAGAATGTTGTGCATTTAGTACATAGGACATATGCTTGCAATCCTCCCCTAAATATCCCAGTGGTTTCTTTGTGCAAGTTTTCTTTAGACTCATTTCTCCATCTTGATCTGTGCTGACTCCACGTGAGGTCAGTCAGAGAATAATGTTAGTCCAACCACTTGTGTGCACACCTGCATACACACATACCAGAAAGTTAATGTTGTTTTACTTTAAAGCAGTGATTTTACTCTGGACCATGTGTATGTGGCAGAAGGATGATAGTGACTTGTACATAAGCATCTACAGAGGAGGAATAACTGATATGTATGGTGGAGTTTGACAGAATCCTGGATCAGGAAAAATAACAATCTTAAGGTTGGAGGAGATTTTTAAAATCATCTTGACCAGCTATCCATTTCATTACATCATTCCTCACTCTGAGGCTCATTTCTAACTGGTGTTACCTTGGAAGATGACTAATTTTTAGTGCTTGTTTTGAATTTAGTTTGTGGAATGATTTCTCAGCTTGCCCCATAATATCTACTCTGTACAGAAAAATGTTATCCCTTTTTCTTTGCAAAGTGTGAATATAAAGCAATGAGGCTGTTTTTCTTTTATGAGTCATATCCGGTCTCTGAAAACAGTTCCTAAATTGGAGTTGCCAAAATATTTCATGTCATGGAAGCATGGTTAGAATAGGCTTATCAAGGTGAATTTTCTGAATGGTATTTCAGTACTTATTTTTATAGTCTCATAGCTCTATAATCACATGTTGAATGGGATTTTAATACTAAAAAAGAGGATACATAAAAACACATTGTGTCTATTATCTGCATAGAACAATCGCCTACTTTCTTTATTAATAGATCTTATTTTGTGAAAGCTACACCTTACAAAATTTTATCTTGTTCTCACCTAATTATCTAAACACAAGGAATGATCCTGCTCTGAATTAAACCTTTCCATTTAGTGTCAAACTGAACAGATGCAAACTCACTTATGGGGAGCCATCCTTTGGAAATAAACTCTTTAATTCAAAAAATATCTAATATTAGAATATTCCACAGAATATGAACACCTACTTAAATTCATTTCGAGTACCAAAGAATATTTCAGTAATAACATTTACATACTAAATTAAACTTAATTATACAGCATAAAACATTTATAACCATTAAATACAGAACAATTATTTTGAATTGTTAAGTGCTTCCAACATCATTGACATAATACATTTTTTGAAATAATGATGTAACCATTTAAGTAAATTTTTATATTTTATTCACATTAAAGTTTATCTGTAACATTAAGCATAACTTTTTTCTTTTCTCTCTCTCTTTTTTTTTTTGACATGGAGTCTCTCTCTGTCACCCAGGCTGGAGCACAGTTGCGCTATCTGAGCTCACTGCAACCTCTGCCTCCCAGGCTCAAGCAATTCTCCTGCCTCAGCCTCCCCAGTAGCTGGGGTTACAGGTGCCCACCACCACACCCAGCTAATTTTTGTATTTTTTTGTAGAGACAGGTTTTCACCATGTTAGCCAGGCTGTTCTCAAACTCCTAACCTCAAGTGATCTGCCTGCCTGGGCCTCCCAAAGTGCTGGGATTACAGGCGTGAGCCATGGCACCTGGCCAGCATACTTAACCTTTACAGAGGCATTTTTAGCTGGACATTTACAGCATTTAAAGGATGGAATTCAATTAATAAAAAAGACTTTTTATAACATTGAAACAGTGAGTTTAAGAGAGTAAATCTGTTGCCATTTTAGTTAGTTTTGACAAAGCAAATATTATAAATGGCCAAATACATAAGCCTGTTATTACACATTAAAATGTATCCTATATTTAATGAGCATTAAAATTGAAGTTTACTAGTAATTCCATGGGATATTATTATGAAGTTATAAGAATAGGAGAGAACTTATAGTTTATTTCTGTCTCATTTTAGGATCTTCCTATTATGGCACATGAATTTTAATCGACTTTATAATGGTGTCATTGAAGCAGAGTCTATGATATTATCATTCTAGTATTTAACTACATCTCCCCTTAAGAATGATTTTATCACCCATTATTCTTTAAACCTCTCAAGATACTTCTTAGGCTCTGTTCTCTCTGGAGTTGTGTAAATTCTAATAATCATAACATATATTATTATCTTAGAAGTCATTAAGTCTTCTCTTCTTTATTTGTTTTTAGTATTCCTAGTTTCTCATGGGTATAGTTTTACAAACGCTTTCATTCTTTGTATCAGTTTTCATTTCATATTTGCCTTTCCCAAAAATGCATCAAACTGCTTCCTTTTTTATTTTCTTGTTTCCCATGGGGTTGGTAAACTCCTTCTTAAAACCTTACAGTAGACTTATGCAAAGTCTCATGGAATTTTTAATGCTTTTTATATTTTTTTCTGATTTTATTTTGTTAAACTGATCTCCACTATGATTCTAAGATCTTTTTCCTCTTAGACTCATGTAGCTGCCCATCTAAGCCTTGTAAGTCCTGTTCTTCATTCAAGTGGTGTCTAGCTACTTTTCATTGTTAGCATTATTTATACTGTAATTCTTTCCTCTCTGGTGCTAATTACCCAATCACAATAATCATCAGCAAACTCAGAAAGCTCTTAATCTCTCCTGTTTTATGTAGAGGGATTCTCCCAGAGTACTTCTTTCCTGAGGAGGCTTAAGAGAAAAACTGAACCAATGCCACTACTGACTTACAGAAAACAGAAGCAGAATTACATATTATTTTGTCTTATCTGATCCATACTTTGGAAGTCAATTCGATCTTTACCATTCCCATGGATTGGCTTAATTAACAATATTTTATTTTATAACTATACCAGGGTTTGTATAGTATATGATACTATTCAAAGAAATACCTAATGCAGATGACGGGTTGATGGGTGCAGCAAAGCACCATGGCACGTATATACCTATGTAGCAAACCTGCATGTTCTGCATGTGTATCTCAGAACTTAAACTGTAATAATGAAAAAAAGAAAAAAATCTGAAAATATATATAAAATATTTAAAGCTAGAAAGTAACAAATAGAAATCAAAATAGTAATATAATTATTAAAACTATAGGAAGGAAAAAGATATAGGAAGTAAATGAGTGAACTAAATCTTTACTCTCTATAGCTGAGAGTCAACCAATGATATTCAAGTTGATAAACCAAGAAAATATCAGTAAAATCATGTTATTTGGAGTTATCTATGTAAATAATTGAATGAGAAAACAAACATTTAACCTCTGGAAAACTTGTTTAGGAATGCAAAAGAACAGAGAAGGGAACTTTGCTTTTTGTTTTATGTCATTCTCTAATATTATGTTTTTTTCCCCATGCATGTGTATCTATTGACATTTTTAGATAAATATGATAGATAGATAAATAGATATATAGATAATAGGAAGGGAGGGAGGATAGGATGGAGAGAGGAAAACCTACATACCTAGGGTTTAACACTGCATAGTGAAATTTCAGAAGATTTTTTTCTTCTTTATACCTTTTTGTATGGCTTGGATATTTTACAATGAGTAGGTAATGTTTTTATAAAAATAAGAGGAAAATAAACTGTTTCCCCTTTGTAAAAAAAGAAAATCTTAAATTAAAACAAAGATCAACAACAAAACAACAACAAAACAACAAAAAGATCAAAAACAACAAAAAAGTGCCTTCAGTTAAATGATCTCTTTTAATACTGGAGAGAAAAAGAGTTAAAGTAGCTGGCCTATAATCCATTCACTTACTTTCTGAGGAAACAGAAATGGGGGTGTTGCTGGAATGATGTGGAGCAGGGAATTTGGTGTAATTTCCTTGTGAAAAGATAATGACTAAACCTCCTCGTAAATGAACTAATAGTATTAGAAGAAAAAGATACCTTATCTATGAAATACTCTTAGCAGGATGTTCCTGGTTTAAGGTTGCTTATAAAACATCAATCCAGAATCTGTGGATTTATGGAAAATGAGAAATATAAAAGCTGGCTGACAATTTAGGGTGTATTAGGCCATTCTTGCCTTGCTATAAACACCAGAGGCTGGGTAATTCTTAAGAAAATAGGTTTAATTGGCTCACGGTTCTGTATGTTTTACAGGAAGTATGGTGCCAACATCTGCTCAGCTTCTGGGGAGGCCTCAGGAAGCTTACAATCATGGCAGAAGGCAAAGGGGGAACAAGCGCATCACATGGCAAAAGCAGGAACAAGGGAGAGAGTATGGGGGGCACACTTTACAACAATCAGATCTCATGTGAACTCAGAGTGAAAGCTCGGTTATTACCAAGGGAATAGCTCAAGCCATTCAGGGGCATTCGGGGGCATGATCCAGACACCTCCCACCAGGACCCACCTCCAACACTGGGGATTACATTTCAACATGAGATTTAGGCACAGACAAATATCCTAACTCTATCATGGGGTATGAAATGTAAATATTTAATAACTTATGCTTCACTGTTTTGTGAGATAGATGAAGGCAATGAAGCATTGCAGGGTCATGGATGGATAAAGTTACTGGATCTAGTGAGTACATAAAGTGGGAAGCAAAAAGTTTTATCTTTGGAGACGTAATTTGGTGAAGGATCCTGAAGATGCCACCTATACCCTGCGCACCAGGCAGATGCACCAAAGTATCTCAGCCAATTTCATTGAGATTCAGACTGGCAAGGAGCTTATGGTAAAGTCTTTATAATTGAATTAAAAACTTAAGTAATTGTTTCTGTTATTTAAACTCACTGGAAAAGCTTCAAAATGAGACAATGATTTGAATGAACCAGTAGTCTCTTGGTTACACTATTAGGGATAATAGATATCCCCATCGATCTAGAACTTATAATGTCACAATTGCTACCAAAGTTCACAGGACAGTTAGTGTAAGGAAATCCAGAACTACTCACATTGGGGTAGAACAATTACCTCATTTTTGCTAGCTCAGGATTAACCATTAGTGGATAAGTTGCTTGTTCACACTGGCTTTCTGTGATAAAGAACTCATCCTGCACCTATTATTAATGTTATTACCATGGTATTCAACCAATAGTCTCATATCTTCATCAGAAACTTGTTACCTATGAGTTTAGTACTGAGACCCAGCCTGGGTCTCCCTGCTGAGAAGGAGAACTGAATGAGGGGCATAGAGAGTATAGTAATGGATCATGTGGAAAATGATGTGTTTTCTTTGAGCATTCATCACCCCATACTGGCAATGTACAAAGAGAATGTGACTGACTTGCAGGTGCATAGTAAAGACAGCAAAGAAAAAAATGAGGGGGCTGATGGCGTCATTAGAGCAAGGAGCTCTTAGAGTCTTCTCATTCCCATGGGAGAACTTGGCACAAAACCTCTACTTGGAAGTAACTTTTCTTTGGCTCCCAGCACACACACACTGATCTACATTGAAAAAAATACAAACATAAAAGTAGCTCTTATATAGAAAAGTGGGTGGATCTTTAATCAGTTTGATTTGTCCTCTATTCTTGGCTTATTTGTAAGTAGCTTCTATTCAAACCATTCTTTATCTTTATCTTTCACCTTAATACACACACATGCATGCATGTGCACACACACGCAAACACACATACACACACCATTCAATTTTCTCCCCACCTCAGCCTGCATTAGCTATTCTAGAACTGAATGTCGAAGAAATCTGTTGAGAAAGCTGCTGTGCTAGCCAAAGCAATGAAGAATTATTTTATGTGTATGAAGAAATATTGTAGCATAGAAAAGTACATCTCAAAATATGTTCTTAGATTGCTACAACACAATACTCTAAACAGTAAAAATGAAAATTCCCTTGCTTCACTCCACATTTGGGGTAGGGACCAAGAAATCTATATTTTTAGTACATGTTCCATGTGAATTTTAAGAACAATGATTAGTAGAAAGAACACTAGATTAGATGTTTCTGGAAGAGTTACTAGTGTCACGTCGTAACTCTTCTTCTTCCTGTCTAGGTAGACTTGGCCAAATTATAAAAATATTCTGAGACTTAGTTTCCTTATTGTAAGATAAGGCAATTAAACTGAATTCCCATGGTGGGGCAGTCAAGGTCGAACTAATAAAATTCACTGTCTAGTTGTTCAGTATGAATGTTTTGAAATGAACTAGCCATACAAACAATGCTCTCTTAAGGATTTGCCTTTCAATTTTTCCTCTCCTTGCATGCTCTGAGAAGCCTCCTGTAGCCACAGGAGCAAGAACACTTGGAAAAAATATGTTTATTGAGAAGATTGCCAATGGTTACAAATTCCTGGCAACTTGCTCAGTTCTCTAAGTAATTGGCCATGTGGCTACTCCATCTAATATGATGGGATGTGACCAGTATGTTAATAAGTACAATATTGTTCTATCTCTTTAAGCTCCAAGTCTGTGAACTTTCTCGGGAATTTATATGCAATTTGAAGAAATGTGAATTAAAAAAAATTGTTAGCATTTGCTTTGTTTTTCATAACATTTCCTCCTTTGGGATATGTATGTAGACAACAGCTACAAAACTGCTATAGATCTATTACTTTGAATTTTTAATTACAAGCTATATGCCTAATATACTTTATTAGAAAGTTTGGTCCTCTATGACATAAATAACAAAATTGATAGGAAATTCTCAGTGAAAATACTTAACAGTTATGATCTGCAAGATAACAGAAAGGAATAGATTGTTGTCGCAAGATAATGGTTGCTGACTGTGAGATAAGTGTCAAGGCAAAGTCATTCCAAAGTCTGGCCATTTATCAAAAATGAACATTGAAGAAAAGTAGGATACATTTATCAAGCAACTGTTTTAGTACAAACATTTTATTTTTCTTTTCCTAGCTAATCTATGATTTAGATGCTGTCATTTCACTTGCCAGGTATTTGTGCAGCTAAATGACTCAGGTCACCACTGCATTGTTTAGAGTTACACAACCCTGATTTTTGAGTGGTTATTGTGTTTATCCCAATAACTACCTTATAGTAAGGAAATAGTTAAGAAAGTTAATTGATTGGGCTCTGTTTTAGTTTCTTTTTTCTTTCTATTTAGAATTTTGCTTATTCTCATCTGTTTCTTTAAAGTGATTTAGTATGGTTCACATTAAAATGCACATTTAATACATTTGTATATCAATATAATATTGATATAGGATAGAAATTTAAATAAAAATCTAGAACTAAGGGGAATGATAATCAGAATTATTTTATTATAAGCATTATGATTCTAACAAGTATACTGATTGCTCTACACATTGTCCTCTGTGACAGATGTGGCTTATTTAACCACAAGTATGATATTATCATTTGGTACTGACAGGGCTATTGTCATCCGAAGCCATTTATTCCTGTCACCACTCATAAATTACTGTAAAAAAGAGGCCACTGTTCTCCTAATTTAACATGTTCTTCCACATTCCAACCATGATGGTGATTTTGTAATCCATTTGTCTTCTTAAAGCAATAGGACCATAGGCCAACTTCCTCAAATGGAAAGCAAGCCCCCAATAATTAGTAAGCTGATAGAGTACATAAAAATCTTTGTATAACTCATACAAATATATGTACTTTATTTCCAGAACTACTTGGGAAAGGCATTACTTGCGGAATAGACATAGTAAAGATTTTCCTCGTTCTCCTCCCTGAATATTCAGAGAAACTGTGTGTGGTATACCTCTTCCAGAATCTTGCCTAATTCCTGGATCTTGCACACTCAATTTTTTCAGTTGTAGGAGAGGCTGAATTTTTAAAAATGAACATCATGGACCCTAAAATATGGTTTACCTAAAAGCTTTATATTCTTCATTACTTTCTTAATTCATTCATGTGTTCAGCCAAAACTTATTGAATAGCTGCCATGTGCAGAGTATTGTATATTGTTAAGGTTAAAAAATATAGATCAATAAGGCATGACCTCTCCATTGAGGAATTCCTAGCTTAAAGGATATTGATATATATGTATACATATATATATATTTATATATTTATTAGGCTATGGATACATAAACTCATTAGGCTATGAATATATATATATATGAATATATACATATATGTTGTATACGCACATACTCATGTTTAGGTAATAATAAGTAATCATTACAACTGGGAACATATGTTTGAGGTAGGGTTGAGGGGCAAGTGAAGAATGTCCAGAAACTTAATACAACTTTAGAATATAAAAGACCTTGTGTACTTTGTCAAGAAGTTTGAATTTTATCCTGTATGAAACAGAAAGATTTTAAACAGAAAACAGAAGTGCTTTAAACATAGGAATGACGGAGTCACACCTGATCGTATCAGAGGCATCATGAAAGCATAAAATATTGGAAGTGGGAAGTCTTTGCTACACTTTAAATAAGAGTTAGTGGTTGCTTGAAAAAGCAAAGGGGAGTAGAGGTGATGAGAAGGGCATTGAGTATGCAAGAGACCAGATTGACAGGTCTTGGTAAATTATTTAGGGATATAAGAGGAAAAAATGACTCAAGGATGACTCTGATGCTTTTAGCTTTTAGCTTGGAAGTATAGAATTGTGGTTGGAAGTATAGAATTGTGGTTGTGTTTCTTTTTTAAAAAAGAAAAAAAGAACCAACTTCGTGTGGAGACTATAAAGCTAGTTTTTCTACCTTTTATTTTATCAGTATGTCCTTGGGCAATTTCCTCAAATTTTGTGCCTAAATATTCTTACTTATAAAATATGTAATACGTATGTTTACTTCATAGGATTGTTGTGATGATTAATGAGTTAGTACATGTAAAGCTCTTAAAATGGTGTCTGGAGTATAATAGGTGTTGAATGAATGTTTCTTTTTTATTATTACTATAATGTCACTATTATCATACATCATTTTTATCATTATAATTATGCATTATCTGAATTAATGAATTCCAACAGAAAAGATGATTTTGAAGAAAATATAATGAATCCAACTTTGGATTAATCATTTTAGTCATCCAGATAGAAGTGACAAGTTTGAAATGCAGTTCTGGAAAGAGGGGACAGCTAGTGTATATATTTGGAAATCAACCATGTACAGGTCATATTTGAGGCCATGAAATAGCTTGGCTTGCCCAAGAGGAAAGTATAAGAAAAGAAAAAAAGACAGTAATATTGAGAAACAAAACAATCCTCCTAGAAATAACAATACTTAAGGAATGAGTAGAAGATGGTCCTCGTAGTAGTCTGAAGATCAGAGATATACTAGAAGACCATGCAAAGACGGGTGAGTTAACCAAAAATACCCAATATGAAGATGAAGAAAACTGCATTGTCAAATTCTATAATAATAGTATGACTCAGCCTAAAGAATGTTAGTTGGAATTCTACAAATAATTGTTATGAATGAAGCAATTAATTTGATAATTGAGACATCATTGGTGACATAGCAAACTATTTTTATCCTTCCTCTATCGCATTGATTAGCATCTGAATAAATTGAAAAATAAATGTGAGACTTAAAGCAGTTTAAGTAGTGTTAGGTATGAACTTCAGATTTCAGTGGGCTAAGCTGTTACTAGAGAAACGAGGAAAGTTATGCTTTGGTAAAAATATAATTGTAGATAATATCTTCTCTTAAAATGAGTTATATGCCACCTAAACTTGCTATCCTTCATGCCATTGTGAAAATAGTGTTTGTAAATTTTGTCCATGGGCTGAGGAAAGAAGCTACCCATATATGGAGAACCTAAGAAAATGAACTGGAGAAAAAAAGAAGTAAAATTGTGAAGTCAGATAAACTGTCTGGAAACAAGCATGTTAAAATCCAAAGACTTTTTGTACGCAGATAATAACCAATTAAAAATATAAAGAAAATAGGATTCTATTTACAGAAACAAATGTAAAATATGATAGTTAAGAATCATTGACCGGGCGCAGTGGCTTACGCCTGTCATTCCAGCACTTTGGGAGGCCGAGGCTGGCGGATCACGAGGTCAGAAGTTCAAGACTAGCCTGGCCAACATAGTGAAACCCCATCTCTACTAAAAATACAAAAATTAGCTGGGCATGGTGGCACGTGCCTGTAATCCCAGCTACTCGGGAGGCACAGGCAGGAGCATTGCTTGAACCGGGACGCTGGTGGCGGAGGTTGCAGTGAGCCGAGATCGCGCCACTGAACTCCAGCCTGGGCTACAGAGCATGACTCCATCTCAAAAAAAAAAAAGTAAAGACAAGAAAAGAATCATCTTACCAAGAAATGAATGAGATCTACAATATTTTGCTGGGCTTAATGGAATGAGTAATCAGATTGCCAAATGAGAAGATTGGAAAAAATCTTAGTGACAAGATTTTTAAAAATATAGTTAATTTAATTTTAATAAAAATCTCAATAGAATACCTTTAGGAAATTTAAAAATCAATTTTAAAATTCAGAGAAGTGAATAATTTTTGGTAAGATAATTTCAAGGAAGATTAGTAAGTAGCTAAACAGAACAAACTATTATTTTTTTATTTTTTTATTTTTTATTTTATTTTTTTGAGATGGAGTCTCAAGGCTCTGTCGCCCAGGCTGGAGTGCAGTGGTGCGATCTTGGCTCACTGCAACATCCACCTCCCAGGTTCAAGCGATTCTCCAACCTCAGCCTCCCTAGTAGCCGAACTACAGGCGCGCGCCACCATGCCCAGCTAATTTTTTTGTATTTTTAGTAGAGATGGGGTTTCGCCGTGTTAGCCAGGATGGTCTCAATATCTGGACCTCGTAACTTACCCTCCTCGGCCTCTCAAAGTGCTGGGATTACAGGCGTGAGCCACCGCACCCAGCTAACAGAGCAAATTATTAAAACACAGCTAAAAAAACACACAAAATAATTAAAACAGAGATCAAAGAAAAAAATATAATGGGCA
This sequence comes from Homo sapiens, assembly GCF_000001405.40. Taxonomy (NCBI): domain Eukaryota; kingdom Metazoa; phylum Chordata; class Mammalia; order Primates; family Hominidae; genus Homo; species Homo sapiens. The sequence continues at coordinate 96,070,013 of NC_000006.12, forward strand.
CAATTCATGAATAAATTATAAATTATTCATTATTTTACAAACAATAGTGAATGAATTACAGAATATTTAACTTCCTTAATAATAAAAATATGCAAACAAAAAGCACTTGAGAAATATTATCTTACCTTGTTGATGAGCTGATAAGTGAGGGGACACCTATCCTAGTATGTTTGATAAAAATAATTACATACTTAAAATGTTTACATTCTTTGTCCCAGAATTGATATTTCTGTGAAGCTATTTGAACAACATTGAAATACAGAAAAAAGACATTTATTTAAATACATTTATTAAAGCATTATTTGTAATCACAAAATATTGGGAACCTTATAAATGTCCCACAAAATGAGAAAAGTTAACTATGGCAAACCATATTATGTAATACTATACAAGCCTTAAAATTGTAATTATGCCTGTAATTCCAGCACTTTGGGAGGCCAAGGTGGCAGGATCGCTTGAGCTCAGGAGTACGAGACCAGCCTGGGCAACACGGGGAAACTCCATCTCTACAGAAAATACAAAAAGTTAGCTGGGCATGGTGTGGCACACCTGTAGTCCCAGCAACTTGGGAGGCTGAAGTGGGAGGATTGCTTGAGCCTGGGGAGCAGAGGTTACAGTGAGCCGAGATTGTGCCACTGCACTCCAGCCTGAGCGACAGAGGAAAACCCCATCTCAAAAAAAAATTAATTAATTAATTTAATTAAGTTAGAATTACATGGAAAATCATTATTATAAAATTTTGAATAAAAACTTGAATGTGAAAATATGTATGCAGTTTAACTTACAAACCAGAATGTATATGTATATGTATAATATATCCTAGATTCTCTTTCAATCATTTTTCTCTTGGGATCTGAATTATGCATTGCTTTGCTAAGGATGCAGTAATCTAAATAGAAACATTGAAGCATATGTAAGTAGGGGCTTATCAGATAGATGTTAGTCTTCTCGCTTAAATTTAGCATATATATTTAATATTACTGCATGACAAAATAAATATGAGCACTCTCAAAATGAGTTGATGAAAAGTGACATTAAAACAATCTCAGTCTATCAAGGTAGCTAATGCATATTGGATAAAAATTCTTTGAAATCTAATTTTGCATTTTATGAACAAATTGAAAGTAAAGAAATTTCAGATGTAGTAGAGGACTTTTTAGAATTAGGATGGAATTCTGACAGCAGATGTGTCTGCAGTTGGAAATTGACTGCAGGTCAGAGGTGCTGTTCTGCAGCAGCAGTCATTAAAACAGCTCCTGTAAGTGAGGAAGTATGTGGGGCTATCTCTGGGAGCAATTTACCTCAGATAGGATTTGTTCTAGTTGTCTGGTAAGGGATAGTATGTTCTGGGAGGTAGTTATTATGGAGAGGATAAAGCTGAAAAATATGATGCAAAAATTAAGAATTTATAACAATGTTTACACATTTGCCCAGATATAATAACTATTAATTTTCTGCCTCTATTATTCATTCTGATTAATGATCACAGATAAAATAATTCTGGAAGTAAAAAAATTGGTTTGCCCATGGCAAATCAATTATTTTAAAAATGAAGCTTAAATGTCGTTTTAGTGAAGAGTATAAAGAGCAATGGGCTGCAAATCTGAATACCTGGAAGCTATGGCAGTTTAACCATTACTACATCAACAAAGGAGCAAGACTCACGGCATTTTTAAAAATTGTCACTAAGATCTCTTCTATCCCTAAACATCTATGACCAAAATTTTAACAACAGCCAATCAATAATTATATAAATGATAATAGTTAATATTTAAAATTAAAATTTAAGTTTTTTTTTCTTTTGTAGAGACAGGGTTCCACTATGTTACCCAGGCTGGTCTCAAACTCCTGGGCTCAAGCAATGCTCTCATCTCAGCTTCCCAAAGTACTTGGATTATAGGCGTGAGCCACCACACCCAGCCCAATAATAGTTAATTTTATTTATTGTGACTATTAAACTAGATGTGGTGCAAAATGCTCTCTATGAATTATTCTTTTTAATACTTGCAATGACTTCATGAAATACATTCTATAGGCTGGGTTCCTAGGCAATATAGTAAGACCTTATCTCTATTTAAGAAGAAAAGAAAAGAAATAGGTTCTATTATAGACTCCATTTCTTAATGAGAAACTAGGGGTTTAGAGATGTTAATTAACTTGCTGAGGTCATATAGCTGCAAGTAGCAGAGTCAAGATTCAAACCCAATTGACTATAAATCCCAGACTCAGAACCACTACACTACCCTCTCTCCATATCTCTTATCTTATTTCGTACCACCTTATTTCTAAGCAGTCAGAGCATAGGAATGACTGATTATAAATATGGAAAATGTGCATTAAAAACACTAATGATGTAAAAAATTGTATCTTTCTCCTATTATTCTCTGCATCACTTTGTAGATTGCATCACAAATATATCTTTGTCAAATACACTGAAAGAGCATTTTTTTCCTCTCTATATACTCACTTGTCGGAATCTTTAAAAACAAAACAAGGGAGAGGATCATGTTTAAAATTACTATTCCATAAAATTACTAGTCCATAATGATGTCCACAATTCACTAAGCTTGGCACGTACCTCTATGGGGTATGCACATGGTTATTTTTATAATGCCTTTGTGTTCCATGAATTTTTGCCTTATTCAGATAGAAAAAGGCAACTTTTTTTTCTATCTGAATAATGAAGTTCACTGGTTAATTCATTAGTGAAAGAAGATTTTTTAAAGTTTGTCATTTTGTGCTATATTTTAACTGAAGTACTTTGATGTTAATAAAAATTGCACAAACATAGCTATGTAAAGTTTATAGTTACTCTAAGCATGAGTAAATGTGGCTAATGGATACTTTCTAGTATATTGAGCAGATAGTAATTATGCACCATACATAAAGCCTTATTTGACAGGCATATGTCAGAGCCAGCATATGTAGGGCACTGGAGTTACAGAGAAGAAGCAGACACTCCTCCTACCTTTAGGAGTCTTTCCATCTAGCTGGAGAGATACACATGAACAAACAATCAGAAAACAGAACAAATGCTCTGACTTGCAATGTGAGCACAGGGAACACCACGTTATTTCTACCTGGATATAGTGGGAGGATGGAAATCAGATGTCTCACAGAGAAGAAGAGATTTGAACTGTCATTAGAAGAAACATTGGCCAGGTGTGGTGGCTCATGCCCGTAATCTCAGCACTTTGGGGGGCCAAGACAGGTGGATCACAAGGTCAGGTGTTTGAGACCAGCCTGGTCAATATGGTGAAACCTCATCTCTACTAAAAATACAAAAATTAGCCAGGCGTGGTGACACACCCCTGTAGTCCCAGCTACTCGGGAGGCTGAGGCAGAATAGTCGCTTGAACCCAGGAGGCTGAGGTTGCAGTGAGCTGAGATTATGCCACTGCACTCCAGCTTGGGAGACAGAGTGAGACTCCGTCTCAAAAAAAAAAAAAAAAAGCATTGAAAAGATAAAGGATGGTATTACTGATAAACATGCAACGCAAGTAAAGGCCTAAAGGCCAGTGAGTGTGTAGTATTCAATAGGATATAGGATAAGCAGGTCTAAATATCAAGAGTGAGGTCAGGTTGAGAAATGGATTGAACATTATCAGTATCTTGCTATTAATTAAAATCTTTGCACAGCATGAGAAGCAGAGCTAGAAGAATAGAGGCTTGAAAGGGCGATGGGGAACAGAAACATTAAAGGCGCGAGATGCTAATGAGGGGCCCAAGATGGTGCTTTAACAAATTGTTTCCCTCCTTATAAATTGTTCTATATCCAGTGCTGCCTCTCATTAGCTGTGTAACCTTGTACAACCCTCATCCTGACACAACATCTGTCATCTGTGGAATGAAGAAAGACTCATTCATTCATTCCCAACTTGAATCCCCACAGGTAGTAATGGAGTTTTCAAACTAAACTAAAATTCCATTTAGATTTTCAGTATTACAAAATAACAGTATAACTACGGCTTGTTTACTGATTTAAAATCTTTTAAAATTTAGGGCCTGCAATTAAAATAATAAAAAATATCTACTAGTGAGAAGGTTGCAAACCATTAGCCCAGATGATTCCAGTTCTAAAAACCTGTTATTTTATTATCTCACCGAATATTAGCAGTAGTTGGTTTTTAACATAAAATTTGTACTGCACCAAACAATATCCACAGTGTCCCCATCCCTGAGAATGCAGCCTGCCTGGCAGCTGCACGTGGCCTATTAGCACAGCCGTTTACATAAAATTTGATGATGTCTGTTTTCTTTGGTTTGTTAAAAAATAAAACACAGCATTTACAAGCAGAGCTAGAAGAATAGGGTCTTGCAATGACTTTCTTCCCAGTCATTTCTTGGGAAGAAAGCAAATGGTATAATGAAAGTAATATTGAGTTTGGACATGAATTTCCTGAAGAAGCCAAGTTTATTAATATATAGTTAGGAGTCAGATTTTTGTTTAATAATAAGGCTCTTGGAAGAAACTAAAATTAGTCTTCTGGCATGTCCCTTTTCTTCTTTGTTAAAGGGATAGGATCATAACTGCTCTCACTTCATACTTCATGGACATTTCCTAAAGAATATTTTGGAGTCTCATTGTTCTTTTGAACATTAGGTTCAAAAATAAGGTCATTTAAAAGCAATATGGTCACCTATATAACTATAGTTTTTAGAAGAAAAATTACCTTTATCTCTAAAACTTTGCTGTTACAATCAAATATTGTCACTGTATAAAATATAGGCAATAAAGTAATTAGATGGTTTTAGTTTTAATTTAATTATTGTTTTTTTTAAGAGACAGGGTCTCATTCTGTCTCCCAGGCTGGAGTGCTGTGGTATGAACACAGCTCACTTCATCCTGGAACTCCTGGGTTCAAGTGATCTTTCTGCCTCAGCCTCCTGAGTAGCAAGGACTGCAAGCTCACGCCACCATGGCCAGCGAATTTTTTTTTTTTAATTCTTTGTAGAGACAGAGGTCTCACTGTGTTGCCCAGGCTCATTAGAAACTCCTGGCCTCAAGCAACCCTTCCACCTTGGCCTCCCAAAGCACTGGGATTACAGGCATGAGCCAGCACACTGGGCCTGATTTTAGTTTTTAGGCAATACACCTATGTATTATATAGATGTGTGTGTGCGTGTGTGTGTAGGTGTGTGTGTGTATTTCTGCTTTGTCAGTTACTAGCAGAAAGCTACTATAGCACATAAATCAGAAATACAACAAAAAGTTTGTTGTGTTAGGAGCCAAGTTTGAAACTAATAATAGTGAAGACTTTAAACAGTAGGAGAAAAATCAAAGTTTCACATTCCCTTTGCATACATCAGAAACAAAGCCTTCGACCAGGGTTTGATACCAAGAAAACTTGAGAAACCATGGAATCCTAAATTTTAATTTTGTACCATTTCATATTTAGCATCTGTAAGAAAATGATGGAAATTTTGTGCTTCAGAAATGAATCTCACTTTCCTGACAAATATATATGTATATATACTAGTTCTTCTTCTTGCAAAAGCAGGTTTGACATATATACAAACTCAAGTTACTTATGTATAACTTTTTATTTCCTTAACTTTTAATAATTCATTCATTTCATTATATTTTGAAAGGAAAATTATACGGACTTGGATCTTCTTATAATATGAATGTATAACTGAATCTAATGGAAATTAGTACACATTTTAAACCTTTAGATGTTTAAAACTGCCTGTCTTATTCAGGCTAGTGCTTCATCAGCTGAAATTAGTATCAGCCGATTCCTTAAATTTTATGTCAACTTAAGTTCACTGACCGATTTGACAATGGGTCAATGAAAGAGGCCTGTAGGATTCTAAAGTTTAATACATACATAAGTAAAAGAATGACATTTCTTTTCCCCTCGTACATGTTTTGCAGTAGGTATTAACAAATATTTATATCCCCAAATAGCCTGTTGTTAGAGTGGGCTTTGTTCTTCCACCTCTTAAAACATACCAGAAAGGATAGTTACACAAGCTGCATTGTCCAGACTATGTCACCAGCCTATTATTTACTATAAATAATGAAATGACTGGGCAAGTGGTCTGAAGTGAGCTGTGACTCAGGGCAGTCAGTTTCTCTGTGGGTAACATATCCATGGAATTCAGAAATAGCCCAGATTTTCAGGCCCTTTCTTTAGGAGCTGATACTACATAAAGAATGCTTGCATGTTTGCATTTTCTACACCAAATGGTACTTTATAACTTGATGTCAAGATTTAAGGAAATATAGGAAGACTATTTTGGGCTGGGATATAAAGGAGGAAATATTAATAGTGATTATTAAGATATCTTTACACAATGTTAAGGACTGCAAGTTCACTTGATAGACAGCCTTGCTGGTAATCTGGGAATTACCTGAGGGCTTTCAAGTGGCTATTGAATTAATTTATATTGCTTTGTGAATATAAATTGCAGCCTTCCTTCATCCAAGGAGACAAATATCCACATGCTTTTTGAGTTTTCACCTAAAATATTTAGGCCCATTAAAATAATTTATTTAGCATTTCGCCATGTGAGATAAAACTGACAAAGCCATCTGATTTCTTTCATTTGAAAATGGAACTGCTGAGAACAACATATATACTTGGCATTGGCTTCATAAGTATAAAGTAAATAATTTAAATTATTGTCAATGTATTATACTGTTTGATATATAGAAATATAAATATTAAACTCCTAATGAAATTCAAAGTTAACATAGGCATGTTGTAACACTGTTTTATGTTTGCAGTGTTATTTCCTCTGGGCAGTTGACATGTTTCTAAGAGTAGTTATTTAGTTCTCAAATATACCACATGAACTGCTCGGCTGCAAATGTTGTTGGCCTTGTTTTACAAACTGGAACACTTTTTTGAAGTTTATATATCAGATAAACAAATAGACTGTAATAAGGAAACTTTGATTATTAGTTCACTGATGGCTCTCTTCATTATTTTATGAATATGCAAAATTTTTATCAGAGCAATATGCTCAAAAGCATAAAACCATTATATAATACAAAAAGTCTAGTAAAGGAACACTTCCATTCCCTCCCCAGCCCTTGCCTTCCCCCAGATTGACACCTCAGAGACACAATACTCACAAATACACAAATGCAGACATGGTTCTGGTATAATTTTCTTATGATGCTGTGACTTCATTAATCAATGCTATTGTTGTTTTTGACTTTGTGTTATGGTAATGAGGTTAGGATCCTCACAGTTGCTCCCCCACCAACACACACACATACACATCCCTTTTACCCAATCTCATAAACTAAGAATATTAGAAACTTTAGTCAGTTTATATATTATTAGGATTGTGTAGGTACTCATTTTTGATCTAAATTCTCTACTATTCTTTCTTATACAACTTCATGTTGTTCTTGGAGTTAATAATTTCTTTTTCTTTATTAATGTGCATGGTTTTCTACGTAACTGTTCCTATTTTTCCATAGTTTATCCAAACTATCAAAAGCCTTTTAATGTAATTTTTAAAAACTCAAAATTATCTGGTAATCTATCGGCTTCTTCCCCCTCCTCTCACCTTGTAAAATCTCCTGCTGGAGCTCTCCACCCTTTTTCCATCTGGATTGATTGTTCTTTAGTCTCAGCAAGCAGTGATCATTCTGTAGATTCCCTACAGCTCTTTGTTGGCTGGATTATTGTTTTCTGAGTTCTCTTTCTGGGTTTTCTCTCTTGCTTTTTTGGAGCATATCCTACAATAACGTCTGAAAGAACACATGAAAATACACTTTGGAGTCTTTATGTGATATCAACTTTAATCTATCCTCATTCTAACCTCACACTCAACTAATAATGTAGTCAATGCTTAATAGCCAGTGTTTTGTGGTTAAGAATATTCCTTTGGTTGTTCCTTTTTATGTGATCTGCCTCCACATCAACTTTATAGTCTCCATTATTTGCTCTTTATCCCTAGCGTTCCGAAATTTCAAGGTGCTGCACACTGTAAGAGTTTCTTTACAACGTTACTTTCTTAGGTATTCAGTGAGCACTTGCAGTCATGATCTTAGTTATTTTGTTCGTGTTTATTAAAATAATTTTTAACTTGTTTCCTCTGTGTTCTATTTCCGGGATGCATATGAATGAGATGTTGGACCTTCAGAATTGACTCTACTTGTTTTAATTTTTTCATTACAACTTTCTCCCTTTCAATTTTTTCTACATTCCGGGAGATTTCCTCAACTGTGTTTTTCAAATTTTCTACTGGAATTTTAATTTTGGTTATATTTCCATGAGCTTTTTCTTGCTCTCTGGCTGCTCTGGCTTCATATAATTCTGCTTTTGTTTCAGAGATACATCTTCTTTTATAGCTCAGATATTCAATACACCTTTCCTCTTATGAACCTTCTTACAGTGTGCTTGCTTTGATCTCTTTCTTTCATATTAGTCTTCTTTTTTTTTTTTTTTTTTTTTTTTTTTTTTGAGACGGAGCCTCGCTCTGTCCCACAGGCTGGAGTGCAGTGGCGCGATCTTGGCTCACTGCAAGCTCCGCCTCCTGGATTCGCGCCATTCTCCTGCCTCAGCCTCCCGAGTAGCTGGGACTACAGGCACATGCCACTACGCCCGGCTAATTTTCTGTATTTTTAGTAGAGACAGGGTTTCACCGTGTTAGCCAGGATGGTCTCTGTCTCCTGACCTCGTGATGAGCCCGACTCGGCCTCCCAAAGTGCTGGGATTACAGGCCTGAGCCACCGCACCCGGCCCATATTAGAGTCTTAACCAAATTTTTCATGATCGTTAATTAGGCATTCATAATTAAACAAAGGTCAAACAAAACTAATTGAAGCTCTTTATGCATTAGGTGCAATTTGCTAGATATATTTCATTTACCGTGATTAATCAGTGAGTTGGTCTTTTTTCATTGGGAGACATCAATATTTAGGCTTTTGCTTCTCCTTGCCCCTGCCGCCAACCATTCTGTTTCTGAAAAGAAGACTCCTTAATCTTCTTATTTAAACATATATTCCTGTGGCTAGAGTTTTGGGCTCAAAGAGTCCCACCATTTCATTTTCAGATCCTTGCTGCCTTCCTGTATTTGGCTCTGATCTGCACTTTATTTCTTTACTCCTCTTCATACGTGCCCATGTTCAGAGGCACCATGTTTTAATTTCTCTTGAAAATAGATATTCAAGATTTTTTCCCTGTACATTTTCAAAGGTGGGGAAGGGAGACTAGGAAACACCAGATTTATATGCATTCCTTCGACCAACCTTCCATTTTCAACAACTTTAAATTTCCACAACACTCAGTGCCTTCAAATACTGAGCTTTTTGGACACCACAGCTATATTGACTAGTTTCTTGTCACTCTCCCTCTCTCTAGGTATTTAGGTGGCATCTGAAGTCAGTTACTACTCTCGAAGTTAAGTCAGTTACTATTCTTTCATTTGCTTTCTGATTCCTCCTGAAATTGTTGAAATCTTTCAGGTGCTGATATTCCTCTCTGTTTCCCATTCCCCTTGAGTATTTAAAGACATATTATTCCTTTACAGTCATTTTGGTAAGGTTGTTGAAAGGCAAGAAAATAAATGCATGAGATTAATATATCATTTTTAATGGAATATTGTTTTATTAGTCTTCTCGATATTGGCATCACCAGTTTGTCTTCTAATGTATGAGACAAAATGTTTCTGAGGACATTTAGGATAATAATCCTATTGTTCTACAATATGTTTCTAGTGTAAAAAACATCACCTCCATCAGAAAAAGCAACATAATCGGAACTGAAAACTTTCATATTTTTTAATAGTTTTGTGAAAAAAATAAGAACTCTACTACAATGTTAGCTATCAAAGTCCATTGGCAGGACAATGATGTATTTTAATAGCATAGGAAAAACTACTTGCTAAATTTAATAAACTCTAAGAAAATAAAAGTTTACTAGGGGAAAATAAAAATGGATATAGCTTTAAAAAAATGGAAAACAATAATGATTCTCACCAAAAATATTGTCTTTGCCTTTACAACAATGTATCTGACAATATTATTGCTTTGTACTTGAAGAAGTAGAATAAACTCAGGACATTAAATATCAAAAGAAATACAAATTCATATATATTTGTGACTTTGCACTTTTTAAGAAGTTATATTTGAACAAATCATGATGAATAAAATATTCATCAAACCAGTATTCAACATTTTATTTTTGCTAGTTTCTATGATCTATTTCTCAGTAGTTCTCACAAATAAAGCTTAATTGTGTTTCTAAAAAAAAAGCCAGAAAGAATGACATAATAATTTTTTCAATGGTTATTTGTAAGAGGATATAAAAGTGTAGCTATAAATAACTTCTTTAATAATTGTCTAGAATCTAGGACTTATTTTAGTAGACTTTACATAAGAGGAGTGAAGAGATCAATAAAATGAAATTTTAAGGTACATTTTTCTATGCCTTAGGCAATTTAGTGAAAGAAGAAAGAACTGAAGTGAAGCAAAGACGAAAATGTCTTTGCCTACTTATTAAATGTATGTATACTCTGCCTATTTCAAAACTGAATTTGAAGTAAGGTATTACAAATAAAACACTATATTGGGAAAATTATGATAAAAATAAGGTATTTAAATGTTCCAATGATGATTAAAATGTAAATAACTCATTTATTCAAACTTTAATATTTGAAAAATCATGTCTTGACCATGTACCTTCTTCCATTTCAATCCACAGTCCTTCCTAAAGTGGTCATATCCAGTTCCATGGTTTAAAATGAATGCCATCTGTATGCCATTTGTGCCTAAATTTGTATCATCAGCCTTGGTATATCTCCTTATTTCAAAATGCATATATCTAACTGTCAACTTGAGATGTTCTTGGGTATGTCTATTATACATCTCAAAAATGGCAAGTCCAGATTCGAACTCTTATTTCATTGGTAAACATATTTCTTATTTGAAGAATTAGCAACAACATGTACCCTGTTTATTGAAAGCACAATCTTGAGATTAATTTATAATATCACATTTTCATTCATTATGCACATGCAACACATCATAAAATCTTACCAGCAATAACACCAAAAATTGTTTGAAATCTGTCTATTCTCTCCATCTCCATTGCTAAAATCCTATTCACACTAGGATTTATTTTTACTAGTTATAATATCTGTAAAATATTTCATGAAAGAAACATAAAAAGTATATGTAAAGTTTAAGGAATATTTTTCAATGAATATTTAACATCATAAATAAAACAATATCAATAATTTTGAGGCTCCTTAAATGCTAATTAAATTGCCATCCATTTCTTGCAATGATTCACATGTTCTTCATTTTCTTACTTTTTAAAAAGTATTCTTTCACACACAAACACACACCCTTCTTGGATAATACATTTTTTAGTTTTGATTGTCTTTGAATTTTTCTTAAATGAAGTAGTATTGTATATATTTTTCTGCAATTTACTCCTTTCTCTCCACATCTTGATTGTAGATTCACCTATGCTGATACGTCTATTTGTAGTTCATTTGTTTTTATTGTTCTACATTAGGCAATTGTCTTACTATCTTACAATGTATATATAAATTCTAATATGGGTAAATATTTGAATGGCTTCCAAGATGATGGTTGTGGTTTTTTGATGTTTCATTGTTGTCCTTCTGGATTAAAAACAATGCTACTACAAACATTCTGGTAATAGTCTATTGTAAGTATGTGCGAGAGGTTCTACAAAGTACATATTTAGAGTAGAAGAACAAAGTTGAGATTTCCACATGTTCAAATGCAATAGATTATGCCAAACTATTAAGTGTTTGTGCTGATTTACACTCACATTAGCAATAGTTGAACATTACACTTTCTCCATTCCCTCACCAATACTCATTATTGTCTCTGACTTTTAATTTTTGTCCGTCTGTGGAGTATAAGGAGGCATCTTTTTGTTATTATAAATTTTTGTTTTCCTGATTGCTAATGCAGTTGAGCAATTTTTCTTTACTTAATGGCTGTTTATATTTCCTTTCCTCTGAAATGTACATTTGGTCATTTAAACATAATTTTATTGATTGTTTTGTAATTATTGATCTGGAGAAATTCTGTATTCTCAACACTATAGTCATTTGTTTAATCCACTTTTATAAATACCTTCTTCCAGTTCAGGTCTTGACTTTTTACTCTTTTTATGGCATATTCAGTTAATAAAATATTTATTTTAAGTAAATATATCAATATTTTCCTTTTGAGTTTGGATTTTTTTTATTATTCTTTAGCAGAAATTTTTCAACCCTTGAAGTGCGGTGATATTTTTCTATATTGTCCTCTAAAGCTTTTAAAATTTGCCTTTCACATTGAAATATTTAATACCTCTTAAAACAAGCTTTGAAAATGACACATGTAGAGATTTACTTTCACTTTTTTTTTCAAACAATATCCAGATCCCGGCACCTTAAATAGTATACTATTTCCTGATGATCAGCAGTATAACAAATAGAGAGATTCCATACATGAGTGGGTCTATTTTAAAACTATTTCTGCCATTGGCTATTTGCCTATTCCAAATACCACATTGTCTGAATTATATAACAATAGCTTCATAATATGTCTTTGATGTTTTGTATAGCAAATTTCTTCATCTGATACTTGAGTCTTGGCTAGTGTTGTCCCTTATTTAGCAGAGAGTCTTGGCTAGTGTTGTCCCTTTATTCTTCTATATGCATTTTAAAAATTAGTTTTCAATTTTCTTAAAATCTTTAAACAATTACATTGAACCTATCTACTATTTTTTGGAGAAATTGCATCGTTAATATATTCAGCCTTTCCACTCAAAAACATGTTATACTTCTCCAACTCTAACTTACTGGGGATTTCTTTAATGTCTTTTAGTAAATTGTTATCATTTTCTCAAGAAAGAGCTTTGTGCATTGGGTTTACCTACTTATTTGTTTATTTGTTTCTAGATACTTTATGTTCTTGGCTACATTAACCATAAGGGATATATTTTCTGGTTGCTTCATTTAGAAATGAGAGTTCTTCAAAAATTTTTTTAGCTGGAAAATGACAGTAGCTTTTTAACTGGGTTCTCTGTTTTACTTTTGTCTCCCTATAGTCCATTCTCCTTACTATCACACACTGAACATTTTATATTTCCTTATTCTTTGATGTGTTTGTGACCTATCCTTTCTCACCAGAATTCAGTTTTCTAAGAGTAGAAACTTTGTGTTTTCTTATCAACACTGAATCACCAGTGTCTAAAACAAAGTGGGCACTTAAAAAACTTGAATGAATGAATGAAGAGGTGAGTCACATGTATTAATATTTCTGAATGTGTAAGTCAAGATAAGGGCTCTGTCTTTCTCACAAATAGATAGATTGTATTGGCTAATAATTAATCAGCATAGGCCAAAATTTTGGAGTTGCAAAACAAAGACTATTTATAAGTAGCAGATAATATTAAAAGGACTGCTGTCCATTTACTTATTCTATTCTGTTCTCTGGATGCATTGACTTACAAGTTATCATTGAACATAGCATAGAATGATATTGTTGATCACAGGTCACCTAGTTCTACCTTTCATCCAATGTTCTAGCCTCTCTATTGCATCTTTCTTGAGTGCCAGCTTTCTTGAGTGTTAAGAGTTCCACTTAAACCCCTTCAGCAGCTGGCATCACACCCTCTTCTCAGATTTCCATTCCATTGTCAAGTACAGTTCGTCATACTGAACTAAGCTCTGCTTCTCTTGAGTTACCATTTATTGATCTGAGCTTTGACTGCCAGATCCTCCACATTAAAAAGAAATAAATAAAAAAGAAATTCACCCTCTTTTAGCATAATAACCCTTCAAATATTTTAAGTACTGCGTTCGATATAATAGCATTTCTCTTATTTAATCTAAGCATCTGTTTATTTTCATGCATGTATTCTTTCATCTATTCTTGATGACTATTTCTTGAGTGTCTTCCAGACTATTTCTTGAGTGTCTTCCTTGTGTCAAGCATAGAAAAGGTGAACATTAATAATTTGAGAAAACATTCCTTCTCACATGTCATTATATGATAACTCCCTGAGTTAGGTCTTAACCTTTCAGAATGTACTTGTCAATTGAGTAGATATTTAGTTGAGATTTGGGGCGTCTTCTTAATTCTAGCCATAACAATGAACTATTTTTAACAAGAAGGCGCTTAGGAACTTTGAAAATTAAAACAGAGAGAGAGATAGACTAAAGTGACTTATCACACTAAAAGTCAGACTGTCTAGAAGATCATATCTCTTTATTTCCTTTTAACAACTAAAATAATTTTAAGTTGATTCTCCAAAGAATTCCATCAAAGAGAAGATCTTAAATTTCCTGGAAAGACCATCTGGCACTTTTTATAAGTGTTATGTTGTTTTTTAAGCTACAGAAAGCGCTCTAAGAAGAAAGCATTTTGGGATAAAAACTAAAACAAAAAATTTCAGTTTTCAATTTTGTCCCAAATCACTCTTGTCAATTACAAATATATATCTAAATATCCCAGGTTTATCTCTAATTCTATTAAAGCTAGAGCTTAAATGACTTACCTTAAAGTTGACTGGTAGTTTTTCAGAGTGTGAAGTTAATTTTCTCACACACACGTTTGTGACTGACTGTGCGAATACTCAGTTATTAGCAAATTAGCAACACAGTAAATGTGTCTCATAGAAATTAGACTAAGGGGACTAGCTGTATATGAGCCATAAAACCTATAAATCTTGTGGACAAGATCTTGACATACAAATTAGAAATAGAAATTATTTTGAAGCCTTGGATACTGATAGTTGCATTACTTAGCACACTATGGTCTTCAGTCCCAACTTCTCATTACTGATTCCCATTTGTATGTCTTCACTCTCCACAGACATTTACTCTAATGTTTGATATACATCCCTGTTTATATATATAACCCTTGCAAAATATACTATGTTTCGTGTGTGTCTATTATTTAATTATTTTATATAAAGGATATTATGATGCACCAAGTGTCATAAAGTATTGTTTTGTTCAGTTTCTTGTTTTACTGAATAATTTCTATCCACATTGCTAAATGTATGTATTTCCCAGTTTGACTATTTGAAAGGACTTATCAGGCTCCACAGAACATATTCGCATAAGGCTTTTATTTAAATTTTTTTAAAAATACAGTACAGCAAAAGAAAAAGTGTATAAGCAAACATTAGAGATTCCAAAGATATGCCATGTACAGGGCACTATTTCTGGCATAGCTCAAAGGATGTCTTAGTCCATTTGGGCTGCTACAACAAAATAGCATACTGTGTAGCTTATAAACAATAAGAATGTATTTCTTATGGTTCAGGAGGCTAAGAATTTCTAGATCAAGATGCCAGCAGAGTTGATGTCTATAATCTATAAGGGCCCTCTTCCCTCATAGATGGCAGCTTCTAACTGCGTCCTTGCATGGTGAAAGAGACTAGCTAGCTCTTTGTGGTCTCTTTTATAAGGGCACTAATGATATTCCCAAGCGTAGAGCACTCACAATCTAATCACCTTTCCAAGACCGCACCTTCTAATACCATTATCTTGAAGTTTAGGATTTCAACATTTTTGGAGGACACAAACATTCAAACTATGGCAAAATATAAGTTCCCTGGGAAGCCTTTCTTTGTCTTTTTGGCTAAATAAACAAGCCAGGTTTGTCAAACCCCAGTGGACTAGATGCAGTCATAAGGAAAAAAACTTACCCTGGAGGTTCTCAACACATCATAAATTCAACTTCCCTTATCTTGGCCAAGGGTCAAATGCAAACACTCAATGCCCTGGAAATATAGAGTTTTTCAGCATAGTTATAAATTAATTCTATCTCCACAATGTACTCTACTTCATTGCTTCTAATTGCTTTATAGTAGTTCATGCCTTGCATCCCTCAAGTATTATTTAGTCGTTCCTCTGGAAATGGATACCCAGCTTTCCAACTGACACAAACAACATTGTTATGTTTATTGGTAAATATCCTCTTGTGGGCCTATATGAAAGTTTCTCTGTGAAAATTGGATGTAAAATTACTTATTCATCAGTAGGACAATTGTATAATTTATCCTCCACACTAAACTAATTTTAAGAATGGAAGAGGGTATTATTAATAATTATGCCATGACAACATCATGAACCAGAGCCTGGGTAAACCAAGGCATAGAGTACTCTGAATCACAGGCTGCACATATTCACGTTAACACTAACCAGACTTTTCTCCAGACCGCATAAATGTACCTGTCTACACACTTTATTGCCAACACTTTGTGTTTTCAGATTTCCAATTTTGAAATTTGACATGTGCAGTGTTCCTTCCGTTTGCATTTATATCCACATATTTGCTAGCTATGCAGTCTACCTTTCTTTTAATTTCTGATTCAAAGCTTTGGTTTATTTTTCCTGCTTATCAATTTGTTGTCAGCTTTACACCTAGCAGTTATTTTCCTTCAGTTTGTCCCCTATTCATTAACTTTGTCTTTTACCAGAAATTCTTAATTTTGATATAGTGAATCAACTCATTTCTCATCTTTAAATTATACTATATGTAATGCTTAAGAAATACTTCCCCATCTTAAAGTCACAAAGATATTCTCCTGTATTTTCCTTCTTAAAGTCACAAAGATATTCTCCTATATTTTCTTCCATTAGCTGTATGATTTTCCCTTTCATAATCAGGAATATACTGGACTTTAATTTTGTAATCAATATGAAATAGGAACCCAAGTTTATTTTTTTCTTCATATCAAAAATCTGGCTTTGACCACAGAGTTCTTGCCTTTGTGTGTAATCCTTAATCTTAACTAAGAACTCATTATCTACCATGCACCTTTGCATTTTCTCAGTTAGTTAATATTTTCCACTGCTTGGCCTCTCTTTTTTGTCCTCACACTAAAGGAAGATACTGTCTGAACTAAGGTATTAAAAGGCACAGGATGATATCAGGACCCTGCTGTCACAGAGAATAGGTTTCCTGCAATTCAGGAGTGTGCAGCCTGCCAATTTTCGGTTAGCACCTGTGCCTCCTATATAGTCAGTGGAACACATGCCATCTCAACACATGGGGATCAGCAAGGAGACAAACGTTACGCATATGGGTGAAGACCAGTTCTTAGCTTTTGTTCTTCCTGTTGTACTTGTTTTTAAAAATCTAGACCTGGTTTTTAGATAAAGAAAATGACATTCTTACAGAGCCAAAAAGGAAATTCAAGAGTTGCCTTATTTTGGATTATTGGAATATTTTTGTTATCTCTTTTATCTCTATTATTGGCTTATTACCTAAAGTTATTTGTTGGTGTTGCTTTCAGATTTGTGGTGTATATTTTTAACTTATCATAGTCTACCTCCAAGTAACATAGCACTCTACATATGTCATGCAAACACTGCAACAGTAGGTTTATATTTTCCCCACAAATTTTTTTTTTTTTTTTTTTTTTTGAGACAGACTCTCACTCTGTTACCAGGCTGGAGTGCAGTGGCATGATCTCAGCTCACTGCAACCTCTGCCTCCTGGGTTCAAGCAATTATCCTGCCTCAGCCTCCTGAGTAGCTAGGACTACAGGCGCGTGCCACAATGCCCAGCTAATTTTTGTAGTTTTAGTAGAGACGGGGTTTCACCATGTTGGTCAGGATGGTCTCGATCTCTTGACCTCATGATCCGCCCACCTCGGCCTCCCAAAGTGCTGGAATTACATGCGTGAGCCACCACGTCCGGCCTTCCCCACAAATCTTTGTGCTATTATCATACATTTTACCTCTAAATATGTTACGTAGAAGTTGTAAACCCCATAATATAGTTTTTAGTTTTGCTCTAAACAGTAAATGTTCTGATATAGAGAAAACACTTTTTCTGCTTTTAACCACATGTTTACCATTTCCAGTGCTTATCACTCTTTGGCATAGATCCATGTTTCCACAAGGATCATTTCTTCTGAAGGGCTTCCTTTAACATATCTGGTAATAGAGGCCTGCTAATGTTTATTAGCTCTTGTATGTGTCTGAGAAAGTCTTTATTTTTCAAAGACATTTTCACTGGCTATGCAATTCTGTTTTTCAGTACTTTAATGATGTTTCCCTGCTGTCGTTTGGCTTCCATTGTTTCTGATGAGAAATATGCTGTCATTCTTATCTTTATTTCCTATATTACATAATATGTCTTCTTCTTTGGCTGCTTTGAGAAATATCTAATGTAAATGACAAGTTGATGGATGCAGCAAACCAACAAGGCACATGTATAGCTATGTAACAAACCTCCACGTTGTGCACATGTACCCTAGAACTTAAAGTATAATAAAACATAAAAAATATAAATATAAAATAAAAAAATAAAATGTTCTTATTTCATTTTTAAAGCAATTTTATTATGATATGCTGTGGTATAGTTTCCTAATGCTTCTTGTGCTTGGAGTTTACTGAACTTCTTGGTTCTTTAAATTTATAGCTTTCATCAAATTTGAACAATTTTAAACTTTTGTTTATTTAAACACTTTTGTCTTCTTTCTCCCAATTTTTAGGACTCCTATTATTACCTGTATGTGGTTTGACATTTCCCCATAGCTGTATGATTCTCTGTTTGTTTGTTTTGTGTGTGTGTGTGTGTGTGTGTGTGTGTGTGTGTGTGCGTGCGCGCGCGTGCTCCATATTGGATAGTTTCTATTGTATTATCATCAGTTTCACTAGTCTGTCTCTGCAGGGTCTAATATGTGGTTAATTTCATTTATTGTATTTCTTAATTTCATAAATTATAGTTTTATATTTAGAATTGAAAATGAGTCTTTCAAAAATACTCTTCATGTCCCAGACCTTTTGCTACCTTCTTGTAGTCTATATCTAAGTATTGCTTAACTGCTTATTTTTCCAATTCCTTGCATGACTGGCTATTTTTTAAATGAATGTCATATATTGTGAATTTTACCTTGATGGATCCTGGTTATTTTTGTGTATCTCTAAAATTTTTTAGCTTTGTTATTGGGCACAGCTAAGTTACTTATAAACAGCTTTGACCATTTCCTTTTGAGGACTGTTTTTGGTTTTATTAGGTAAAATCAGAGCAGCCTTAATTCAAGGATTAATTTTGATCCCATTACTCTTCTACATACTCTTCTTGATGTTCCATGAATTATGAGAATTGTTTACTCTCTTTGATCGGAATACAAACTATAACTATTCCTGGCCATATGTGAGATCTGAAGGGTTGCTCCTTTTCTTCATTTTGGTAGTTTTGTTTCATCATGGTTAGTTTTCATACACACATTTGCTGATTAATACTCAGCTAAATAGCCAAGGAGATTCTTCTGCATATATCTAGAGACTTACTGTGGAACTATCTGGATACTTTCCCCTGAGAATTCTACCCTGCTAGCCTCCTTGAGTTCCTAACATTTGTCTTCTCAACTCTGGCAGGCAATCAGGCTCCACCTGGTGTCCCTTTCCCTGAGCTGCAGCCTAAAATCTCCAACCTGTCAGGAATCTGGGGAAGTTATAGGGCTTGTTTGCATCTCCTTTCTCAAAGAACGTGTGCTGCCAGACAACCAACCTTTAAAATTGTTGTTTGATGTATTTGCTTTCCTACTTCTTCTTGTTATTGTCACAGCTAGAAGGTAGATCTGATCCATATTCCTGCATTGTGACCAAAAAGTACAACAATAATCTGAGTTACTAACAGTATACATCGATCTCACCCCAGAGTAAGATGGGGAGCTGAACTAAGCTTTCAGCATATTGACAGGAGGCATGAACGCCTTTCTATCCAATAACTTGTATTGAAATACTGCCCTACCAACACAAAGAAGTAACCAGGCTATGAGTGGAGAAAAAAGGAATCATAACAGCGCTTTTAAGCTATAAAAGTGTGGCCTCTAAATCCACAATACCCATATGGCATTGCATTATTAGTGCAAGGTAAGTACAGTTTAAGGTAGAAATAATTTTTATGTATAATGACGAATATTTGGTAATCACAGAAAGAACAATGCACTAGGACAATAAATCAAACATAAGCCTGTATAATTCTGAAAAGAACCTGAAAACATGGTTGTATTATAGGAAGACTTGACAAAAATACAAAGATATGAGGAGATTTTAACACACTTCTATAAAATTATGAAAAACCCCCCAAATTAATAAGTTTGAACAATACAAGTACCAATGGACATATAGAGTGCTTACGGCCCATAAGAAAGAGTTAACATTATTTTCAAGCATGTGTATATGAAAGATACATACAATTTTTTGGGGGATGAACCAAAAAGATAGTATCAATAAATTTCAAAAATTAGCATCTTGTATATACTTTTTCTGAACACAGTCAATAAAAAAGTACTTTTGGAAATAAATTTGTAAAGTCAATTGTTTATGAATTAAGGAAGAAATCACAGTAGAGATTTAAAATATTTTTTGTGAGATATTAATTTTTGAAAAAAATTCTTGATGTAGTTAAAACAATACTTATAGACTACAATTTATATATTTTAAAAGTAGATGAAAGTGTTCAATTTTATAAGCAACAGGAAATAATTATATCAACTCATAATTATATCAACTCAAATTTTACTATTTATATAGTAAAATAAAACTGAAATTTAAAAACTAAAATAAAACATATATTTGACATGATCATCAAGACAAAAACTGATGCTAAGTAAAAGATACACATCTCTGGTAAGATTGAGCAGAAAGGAAAAGGAAAAGCAAAATAAACAATATTAAGAATGAAAAAGCGATGCAACTATAGTCATAACAGATCAACTTTAAATCACAGAGACAGTATGAAATAGACAATTATTAAAAAAAAGTTACTACAATAATAGTCATACACACCCCAACAGACACACTCATTGGTCATATTTGTATGTAATTTAAACACCTAAAGTAAAAAGATGTTAATTTATTATAAGATATTGAATTAAAATAAATGCAGGAGTCCATAGGATTACACAAACAAAGGGAAAGTATGAGAGAAAGGGAAGCATTTAAAATTTGAATGCCGCTAACAAAAGTAGAAGAAATTTGTAATATCTAATGCAATAGTAATTGATTCAGGCAAGAATCATCAATAAATGTTAAAGCCATTGAGAATATATTCTGGTGGGGAGGAGGCTATTTACCCCATCTCAAATATCACCCTGCAGATTACTTTTTAATTGCAATGGGAAATATGTACACTGACATCTTATAGATCACTTTCTTAAGCAAGTGATGTAACTTCACCAACTGAAGGAGAGCCTGACATTATTTGACTCTCATGCAAATAAAAAACCAAATAGTTCAAAGCGTTATTTACGTATTCTTCCCATAAATGTTTAACCTAAATTTAACCATGAGAAGGTTAAATACTGAATTTGAAATATTTTACAAAATAAATTAGAATATTATTTTCTAAAAATTCAATTTTTCAGAAACCAAAGGAAGGAAGAACTCATAAATTCATTGGGACCCTTCTGTATTAAAGAAGACTAATGAGTCAATAACAACGCATGAATCTTCATTATCATATCTTGGATCATAAAAGAAATCAGTTTTATCTTAGACACAAGTGAAAATATTGCATATGAGCCCCATATTATGTGATATGCAATTATCATTGCCTTTATGGGTATGACAATGGTATTGCAGTCAGGTAGAGGAATGCCCTTTTTCTAAGAACATTTTGAAATATATAGCTGAGAAATGTCATAATACTTGCAATGTATTTTCAGATAGTTAAGGAGAGAAACGGACTGAGTGAGAAAGAGAGAGAGTGAGAGCACAAATCTGTGGCAAAATGTTAACAATTGAAACTAGTTGAAGGGTTTGTAGGTGATCTTTGCAATACTGCTGCAATCTCCTCATCAATTTGGAAATTTTCCATTTAAAAAGTTGGTAAGGAGGGGCTTTGCCAAGTCCAGATGGTATTACAAGCAAGTTTTATTGAATCTTTAAGGATTTTGAGCGAGAAAATATTTTCAGAAATAAAGTTTCCATACTAATTTTATAATGTGAGCATAATCTTGAAACTCTATTAGATCAGGACAGTTTGAGAAATTCAAATTTTAGTATACTACTATCAACATAGATACAAAAATGATATTTGATAAAATATTGTCAAATTACAACCAATAGTGCAATTAAAAATAGTATACTATGACAAAGTAGGGTGTATCCCAAATGGACAATAATACTTTAACAGTAAAAAATTGATTGATCTATTTATCAGATTAATAGATTAGAGAAAAACCTTGTAATCAACGAAAATTTCCAGAATATTTTGACAATATCGATCTAAACAGCAGGTAAAATGAATGAATTAGAGCTGTATAAATCTTTATGGGAATATCCCTGAAACATAATACTGAGTGCACCAGTCAATTGGAGAA
The DNA here is from genome assembly GCF_000001405.40 of Homo sapiens. Classification (NCBI taxonomy): domain Eukaryota; kingdom Metazoa; phylum Chordata; class Mammalia; order Primates; family Hominidae; genus Homo; species Homo sapiens. The sequence continues at coordinate 96,092,302 of NC_000006.12, forward strand.
TGATACTTATCCTATGATACACTTGTGTGAAATTCAAAAATAAAGAAAAATCTATATTATGTATTCTGATAGATATATTCACAACAAGTATATTAAAAAAGAATGTTGAGAGTATATTCCCTAAATAAAATATTATAATGGCTTCCTATAACTCCTAAGATTAATATCAGATTCTTTACTACAGACTCTAGGAATCTGCATCATCTGATTTTTGCTGACATTTCTAGAATGGTCAAATATTATACTTCTTCTAGCTGTCTGCTCCAGCTTCACCTGACTTCTTCATTCATACACTTGAATGTGTCTTGTCACAACTCACAATCGAGACTTTGCATATGTCATTTCCTCTTTCTGGAGTATTTTAGCTCTATTCTTCCTCTTAAATAACTTATCTTTCAGCTCTCATCCCATATTCAGGAGATGCGAGGTCAAATTCCGTCATTTTTCTTTATAACATTTCATACCATTCTTTCCCTTTTCTTTTTTTGGAAACAGGGTCTTGCTCTGTCTCCCAGACTGGAATGCAGTGGCACAATCACAGCTCAACCTCCTGGGCTAAAACAATCCTCCCACCTCAACCTCCTGAGTAGTTAGGACTTCAGGTGCATGCCACCATGCCTGGCTAATTAAAAAATTTTAAAAAAATCATAGAGACAGAGTCTTGCTATGTTTCCCAGGCTGGTCTCAAAGTCCTGGGCTCAAGCAATCCTCCTGCCTTGGCCTCCTAAAGTATTGAAATTACAGGCATGAGCCACCTTACCCAGCCTCTATTCCTTCCTTTGAGAGCACTATTTCAGTTGTTATTTCTCATTGACTTATGAGGTTTTGTGATTAGTATCTATCCTCCCATTAGGCTTGTTCTCCCCACATAAAATCAGATATGGCATCTATTTTGCTAAGCATCATACCCCTAGTACCTTGCACAGTTCTTGACACATTAAAGGTGCCTACCAAATATTTACTAAATTGGTGAATGAATTGGCAAAGTCGTTTCTTTCATAGGATTCTCTTATTTTGATCATGATCCTGTTGAAATAGCTTTCTCTTGATAATTCCACACTTTCATTTATCTTTTCCCTGTGACTAATGCAGTTTGATGTGGTTTGGGCATCTCTACCTGAGTGACAGGATATAGATACTATGATTGACAGTATCCTCTAGAAGTATGGGCATTGAAGCATTTAAGACCAGAGGAAAGGGATATGCTAATCTTGGCAATATATATCAACATATGTTAAGAAATTACATTGAAGAGTTAATAAATTAAATTGTATTAAGAAGTAGAATATTTAACAGAAAATATCCCTGCAACAAAAATTAGAATTTAAATATGTATTTCTCCATGCCCATATTATTTATGAGCAAATAATCATCACTTTTCCAGGCATAAAAATGGCCTCAAAGTTATTGCATGAATATGGATCCACATACACACACAAAATGAACTTTTAAAATATTACCAAGAACCTTACACACACCATCTTCATCTGTGTAATAGTCCTTCAGAGGAAGGTATACATTACTGTTACAATGTTTACAAATGAATAAATTAAGGGACAGAGGAGTTGAAAAACTTTCCCCAGGTTATACAGCAGCAGAGTCAAAAATAAAATCCACATCTGTATGACTACTGAACCCTAATTTGGTGCATTGCGAGCCAAGGATATGAAAGTTTTGCTGAAATTAATGAGGCTGGAATGTATATGTCATGTTTTAATCTAAGTCAGTGTTTCTTCAAATTTGATGCTGCTCTGTGAAAGATTCCAAAATCAAACAAGTTTTGGATACGCTGCATGTCATATTCAATAGTCCTCCCTTATTTGTGGTTTCAGTTACCTGTGGTCCTCAGTGATCTGAAAAGATTACATGAAAAATTCCAGAAATAAACAACTCACAGGTTTTAAATTGTGTGCTGTTCTGAGTAGCATGATGAAATCTCATGCCATCCCTTTGTCTAGTGTATTCATGCTGTGTTGGTCATTTTGTAGCTAGCTGGCTTGGTTATCAGACCTTGTCACAGTATCTCAGTGCTTATGTTCAAGTAACCTTTCTTTTACTTAATAATGGCCCCAAAGCACAAGGATGCTGGCTATTTGGATATGGCAAAGAGAACACATAAAGCACTTTCTTTAATGAAAAAGTGAAAGTTCTGTACTAAATAAGGAAATTTAAAAAATCGTATGCTGAGGTTGCAACCTATGATGAGAATGACTCTGCTATCCATGAAATTGTGAAGAAGGAAAAAGTAATTCATGCAGAGCATATATTGGGTTGGTACTATCAGTGGTTTCAGGAATCCATTGGGGTCTTGGAATGTATCTCTCATGGATAAGTAGAAACTACTGTACTCAAAAAGTTCTGACAATGTTTTTTAATAAAGAAATAGCTTTTTTATTGCTTAACCCAGCACTTCTAAAAACATACCTGAATAGGGAAGCTATTCTTGGAAACTTCCAGGCTAGAGGGAACTACAAAGTTTTTTTCTTCATTTTTTTTTCTAATGCAAACCTGTGTCCTAGGAAGACAAGTTTTTGTTGTTGTCATTGTTGTTGTTATTTCAATAGGTTTTTGGGGAACAGGTGGTGTTTGGTTACATGAATAAATTCTTTAGCGGTGATTTCTGAGATTTTGGTGCACCCATCTCCTGAGCAGTGTACACGGTACCCAAAGTGTAGCACAATTTTGATAGCACTCCATGTCCTTTCTCACCTCATGCTTCTGCTCAGGCTCTTCTTTTGGCCTGGAACACCTACGTCCTCTTCGTGATATGTGGTAAATTCTTATTTACACACTAGTTTAAATGTCACATCATCTGTGAAGCCATCTATTAACCCTTCAATCACATGCCCATATATACAGAATAAGCACTAATGAGCTATAATTTCATAAAATAATGTGAATGATCCCTCACCTTTAAAGAGCATCTCCTATGTTTAAACCCAGCTCTAAACATTGCAAATCTCATTTCTTAATACTTACAATAATTACTTATTATTATCTAATTTCCCTCCAGTTCACATATCAGTTCTCAGATTCTCTTTCCAGGAAACTCCTCTATGGAGATGATTACATTGCCTGATTGACTCCTTTCCTCAACTTTCGCTTGAATACATTCAACTAGGCTTGCCCCACCATTCACCATAGCTTTTCCTGTCTAACATACCAACAGCTGCTACATTAATGAATTCAGACAAAGTATCAGTCCTCATTTATTTAAATTATCAGCAGCATTTGACAAAGTTAGTCCCTTTTTAGAAGTTCAAACCCATTCTTCACTTTTCTTTCAGGATGCTGTCATTTCTGGTTTGCTTTGTACATCACTGGCAATTTTTTTTATGGTTTACTTTGCCGGTTCTTCTCATCTTTACAATTTCTATATGTTGTCCTGCCCCAGCCTTTGGCCAGTAATTCCATTGGTGATTTCATCAAATTTCATGTTGGGCATTATGGCTAAGAGGACAGACCTTTGCACCAGGCTGTCTGGCTTTGAATTACAGCTCAACTAGTTTGTTAGATGTGTAACCATGGGCTAGCGATCTATCTCTACCTTTCTATGTCTACCTCTCTTTTACCTCATCGGTAAAAATAGGGATTATAGCAGTACCTCAGTCATAGAACTGTTGTCATATTACATGATGTGATGTTTGTAAAGAGCATAATGTCCAGCAATATATGTTTTTGCTGATATTACCTATAATCTAATGACTCATAAAACCTATCTAGCTGGGATTTCTGCTACAAACTTGTGAATCATATATCCAACTACCTATACAATGTCTCTACTTGGAAGTCTAATATATATCTCAAATTTATTATATATAGAATGGAAAGTCTTATCATCACTCTTAAACCAGGCAAGCTTAGTAAATGGCAACTACATCCAGTTGCAGATGCAAAAAGACTCGGATGCTTCCTTGATTCCTTTCTCTCAGACCATCAATCCATCTGTCAAATCTAGATTGTTCTGAATTGAAGTTTTCCAGAATCTTGCTACTTCTCACCTCAATCATTCTAATCCAACCCCCCAGGATCCCTCATCTCAATAATTGTACTAGTTTACTGCCTTTCTGTGGACTATATTCAACATAGCAGAGTGGTTATTTTAAAATATAAGTCAGCTCATATCTCTCCTCTGCTTCTAGGCTTCTGTGACTTTTTACCTCACTGATTAAAATCTGGAGTTCTTACACAGGTTTATAAGAATTTACCTAATCTGTCCCATCACTCCCTTAATCTATCTAATCTTGTCTACAAGTTTCACTTCTTTAAGTCCACTCTCACTGCTCTGGTCCCCTCACAGGTCCTGTGGGAATCTAGACATGGTTTTCTCTCAGCCTCCTTGTGCTTGCCATTCCTCTGTCTAGTGTGTTAGTGTCTAAGGCATGTGTGTGTGTGTGTGTGTGTGTCTTATTCTTTCAGATCTTTACTTAAAATTCACCTTCCCAAGGCCTTTGCCTACTCTATTGAAAATTGCAACTCCACTCTACCCCAGCCCCTTTTTCTCCTTACTTTTTTCACTGGAGCTCAAAATGATCTAGCACAATATGGTTTTTATTCGTTTCTTGTTTTTTCAACTCTTCCTTCCAGAACATAAGCTCAATGAGGGGAGGAATTTTTATTTCATCTGTTCACTGAATATCTCTGGTGTTAGAGCACCCAGCACATATTAGGCACTTAAGCAACAGTCATAGAATGAATTCCTTCCCATAAGGGATAAAGAAAGTGAAGCTCACAGAGACAAATCATTTTCCACGACTATCCAAAATTTACCCAAGGGATCCAAAGTCAAAGCACAGAATTAGAAGACACAGGTCAGCATCTAGGCTACACATACTGAAGGAATATGTAATTCATAGAAGATAATAATAGAATAGCCAAATGCATACTCTTCTTCTCACTAGAAGGGATTTCCCTGAGAAAAGGAGCAGTTTTAGTCGTCTTTATAACCCTGGCACCTAATATAGTGTGGGAATCACAGCAGCAGCGGTGTGCTGGAGCCAGCTCCCCAAGCTCAGAAGAGTGGGTTGTGTGCTCTCTTCCAATCCTGCTTTTTGCGACATATGTAGGTAGCTTGGAATTGGCCTTACTGAGAATATTTACACCATGGAAATTAGCAAACAAGTCAGGGTTTATTAAATATGTACCTGAAAAGCACTGCAAAGAAGATAGTTAAAAATATATATATTGTTGTATGAGTGAATGAATTCATGAGTAAAATGTATGAGGTAGATATTATAGTCTGAGGCATCTTTTAGCATACAGATGCTGTAGATAAGGTGAAAACGTAAAAACTGTTGATCGATAACTTTCAATGAACATTACAAAAACAAACAATAACAAATAAAATCTTTGATATAGGACATAGTTCAATTTCTTACTCCATGAGCTCTATTTAGATAGAGCTCTCTGTCTTCCCTATGGGATAATAAAAAATACGGCTCAAATTTCCTCCTAAGTATAGTAACCCACATAATGTATATTCACTTTGTATTTTATCATTATGTGTCTGTGAATATACATAATTTTTCCACTAGACAAGTCCTTCTTAAATATTTTTAAATCATCATTTATTTTAAGAAAGTCACCTTCATATAAAAAGGCAAAGATACAAAAAAATATGCATACAATTTCCAGAGGAGCACAGACCTTCAAAATACCGTGCCACCCTTGCTCCCACCCCAACCAACAGGCTCCAGGTTAAGAACTCTGCACTTGAAGTAGAGGATTCTAGGGTCAGGCTATTTGTCTAAGTTATTGCCTATTCCCAGCATGTGTCTGACATACTGACACTTAAAAAAAGAAAACAAAGAAAAAAAAATAAGACTTGCAGATTGAATAAATGGATGGAATGAATAGTTATTTTAGTTGCTTCTTAGATCTTCTCTTTCCCTAAACACCTCCAATTTTGTCAACTACTTTTTATAAAGCATGATTTTCAGAACCTATAACTTCTGGATCTCCCTCCTCTGACACTCAATGTTCTTGATTTTGGAGAAAGTCAAACTACTGCCACATTCCCCCAAACTCAAATACAGAGTTATTGTTGTAGTTTAAGATTCAAGTAATGTTCCAGGCAACATTTCTTTAATCACTCACGATCCACAGTGATCTTTCATTTAGCTAAAACTCTAGATTCTTTTCACCTAAAAGACTATAGCTAGCTCCTTCTATCATTCTATTGCCCTAGTGGACTTTTAAATTTAACTCCATATTTTTACCATTAAATTCCATTGTCAGTTTCAGCCACTGTTCTAGCCTGTGAAGCTCTTTGGAAATTACATAACATAGTTGTCCCAGTTAGAGTCATTCCCAAATGTATTCAATATGTCTTATGTGTCATCAAATAGTTCATTAAAAATTACTTTAAGAATAATAGAAGCCAGGGACCTCCTGCAGTTTTACAGTGAGCCATTAATCAATACTGTTTGGTAGGAAAGATCTATCACCTACAGATTCAACAAACTGCTTAACTATTCAACCCACATTTATTCATCCTATCCACAAGGAAATCTTAGGAAATTTCAAATGTGCTGTTGAAATCCAGGGGATTTAGATGAGGCATGGTACTGTCTGTTACTGTAACTTTTCCCTGAGATACTGTTGTATACACCTCCTTTGTGCTCTCATAAAATTTTGTGCATGTCTCTGTCATAGTCTTTACCAAAATGTACCCTAATTTTCTTTTGCATCTGTCTTCTCAAGTACTGTGAAGTCCTTGAAGAATTAATCTGTGCATCCTTTATCTCTGTATTATCAGAACCTTATGTGTAATAGTTAATAAATATTTGTCAAACAGATGAGTAAATAATAGGAGTCTCATATTTTACCTTAGGATGTGAAAATCTGTATAAAGTTCACAATTTTCTCTGGACTTATTCTAGGAAGCAAATCACTAAAGATGATTCACAACAATTTGGGAGAACAGAGGAGCCATTTCATTTCTTTGTGCCTCACTTACAACATTCTTACTATTTTAACTTTATGCACATATGGAATGTGTGACTTGATTTTATAACAGAAAGACATTTTTATCCTTCTTAAGCTAAAACTGTACATGCTATTCTGATTATTTCTGTTTTCCTCCTTTTATGCTAAAACTGTACATGCTATTATGATTATTTCTGTTTTCCTCCTTTATATGTAACCTTTTGTATTTCTTTTTAAAAGGTCAGAAACAGTATCTCATTAACACTTCAGAAAAATAGTTGCCAATGTTTCCATTCATAGACCTCATACTTGGAGTGTCTCCTTTAAAATTATATGAAAATGATAAAATGCCACAAAATCACAGTGTTCCTGAATATTTATGCAATCTTCTATATAAAATTTACTTCAGACTTTCTGCTGCTTGCCTGATAGTAATAAATTTATTAGTGTATTTAGAATATAAAATGTCATCATTTTATGCCTGCCTTTTGATGGCCAGACACTCATCAATTTTTTTCCAAAGCCAGATTTCTATAAGGAGACACTCATCGATAAAATATCCAGTGTTCCTGCACAGAGGTTGAGTAATTAGTTTCTACCACAGACTGAAAAACTCAATGTATGGAGAACAAAATAACCTTGTACATTATGTGCAATCTTTATTAATTGAACTTTAAGCTAGCTCTTGAGATTTTTATGCAGTCTGCAACAAAAAGGTCAATGGAATGGCAATGAATCCTCTTGTATTTATTAGTTCATTTTGCAAATGCTAACATTGGGTGAGAATTGATTCGATTTGTTTGTGATCCAGTACCAAAGGGGTATTATTCATTAAGATTTACATGGAAAATAACATACCCAAGGGAAATCAGAAGGAACATTTGCAATAGCAATGGTCTTACTAGAGGTTGACCATGATTTTCATTTCACACCATTTCTTAAAATTATCAAAAAGTGTCCTCAAAGGAATTATTACTTGGAATTTAACACACACACACACCAACACACACACACACACACACACACACACACACACACACACACACACATATAATATTTAAAATGCTGTTCTAGGCTCCAAAGTTACAACATAAATAAAACAGTCAATGTCCTCAAAAATCTCACAATCTAATGAGAAAACAGAAATTTGAGAATTCATTCATTATAGTACAAGGTAAAGTAAAGGAAATACTTTGATGTCAATATGAAATTATCTATGGGAGTACAGAGGATTTAAAGATGAAACTTTATAAAGTGAGAAAGATTTCACTTTTGTCTTAGATGATTAGAAGAATTTCACATGTTTTAATAGAGATATTAATCAAAAGCCAAAATATGGACAAGAACTCTGGAGATAGCTAAAGAAATTTACAATTTTGGGAAATGGAGAACAGAGCTGTATGACTGAGGTATGGTGAGGAGTGATGATCGATAAGCCAAGAAGTGAAGACGCAGGTTAGAATTTGAAGAACCCCCTTTCTTTTCCATGTTAAGTTGTCAGGTAGTGAGGTACTACTGAACAGTTTGACCTTTGGAATGGGTTGAGTTAAACCTGAGTGTCTATGTTTTAGAAAGTTATCATTTGTGACAACACACCGTTGTAAAATCTGTAGTTTTCCTAATATATGTGAAGATACTCTTGGCTGTGACAATGTATTAAAAGGAAGGGAAAGATACATTAAAAGTTAGAATTAGGACTTAGTGTTTGAATGAAAATGGAAGTTTAGGAGGCATCAGGATTAAAGACGGCATCAAGATTTCTACTTAGTACATTGCATACATGTGTAATCAAGTGTGAATTATTAAACAAAACTAGATACTTCATATCTCGTTATGTAACTACTACTTAATATTTTTAACCTAAGTGTTCTTAATTCTGCAAAGAATTCTAAATTTAAAATGCCTAAGTAATCTTTTTCAGTTCATGCAAATATATATGTGTGGGCATGTTTGTGTGGGTGTCTTGTTTTACTAAAATATCTTCAAGAATAATGTTTGAGGGAAAAAAATATTAAGAACATAAAAATGGGCCAGGTGCGGTGGCTCATGCCCATAATCCCAGCACTTTGGGAGGCCAAGGTGGGTGGATCACCTGAGGTCAGGAGTTCAAGACCAGCCTGGCCAACATGATGAAACCCCATCTCTACTAAAAATACAAAAACTTAGCCAGATGTGTTGTGGGGGCTGGGGGGTGCCTGTAATCCCAGCTACTCAGGAGGCTGAGGCAGGAGAATCACCTGAACCTGGGAGGTGAAGGCTGCAGTGAGCTGAGATGGCACTACTGCACTCCAGCCTGGGCAAACAAGAGTGAAACTGTCTTAAAAAAAAAAGAACATAAAAATGTACATTTTACCCTCATGTTCAATTATTTCATTAAGGAGGTCACAAGTTTCCTCCTTGAGGAGGCGGGGAAATCTTCATTCTTTTACATACTCCAATTCTGGAGACAAGATTTCATTATGTTGCCCAGGCTGGAGTGCAGTGGTGCAATCACAGCTCACTGCAACCTTGACCTCTTGGGCTCCAGCTATCCTCCCATCTCAGCCTCCTCAGTAGCTGGAATGACAGGTATGCACCACCACGCCCAGCTATTTTTTTTTTTTTTTTACTAGAGACAAGGTCTTGCTATGCTGCACAGGCTCATATTCTCCCTTTCTACCTGGTCAATGTCACCAGGAATTTATATCATTTTATCCTATGATTATTAGAATATGTTTATATATGAAGATATATTTAATAGTTACTTATTTCATTTGATATCACATATGGATATGTATGCACGTGTGTGTAAAAATATGTGTGTAAAGTCTCAAAAAATAATCAGAGGTTATTTCAATAAAACACAATAAAACTTTCCTGATTTGTCATGACAATTGTATGCAGATATAAACTTTCTAATATCACATCTTTATATGGAAGTAGGTAACAATGTTATTGAGAGATCGTTGTTTATTTCTTAAAAATTATGTGCGCTAATGTAAATGTTCATATGTAGATGTAGGTATTTAAAAGATGGCATATATTATAAACATATTTATTACAATGACAAGTAAGAACAATATATCAGAAATTTTACATATAAATACAGCACTAAATTTACCTGAGTTTAAAAAAAAAAGATTATTAGGTCATTGCCATTAATTTAAAATAATAATTATGTTTTGTTTTTACTGAGATAATTTTCTAATTCTTACTTCCTTTTCCTTTTATTTGAGTCCTTGGATCTGTAATTGCCTTGAATTTTTTTGGCCAATAAAATTTTCATGTCAGGTGCTTCTCTAAGAGGTGTTATAAATTTTTTCTCTCAAAGCTGACCCAAATGGGCCATGAGTTCACTTTTGAGACACATTTTGCTACAATACAGTCATCTTGTCTTAGAGTTATATGTGTAAACAGCCTTAAGCCTATAACTTTACTTAAAATCACATATGATTCATTGGATTTGAAGTTCAAGCTTCTTAATTTTCTTTTTTTAATCAGCTTTTTCAGGTTGAAAAATCTTAAGCTCCAGATGTAGTTGAGTTTGATACCCACATCAAATATCATGTAGAAATTGCGTGTTTTACCCCTGTATACCAAATTTGAAAAGAAAACATCTTCCCATTATACCAGAGAGAATAGTTTAAACTTAGTTTCCTCTCATGCATCATGCTACACTGGAATGTGTGACATGCTGTGCCAATAGACATTACATATGGAAACAGGAGAGAACTTTGAAGAGCTGACAGAAGGCTAGAGTGACTAAAGCAGACTGTACAAAGCCAAGAGAGTGGTAGGCAGGTCCAGACTTCCTTGGTCTTGGGCTATGGGAAAATAGCAGTCAGAAATAGACTTTCAGGACTTCAGCATCAGCTAAGTGAATAAGGAATGGCCAAATGCTTGAATGGGGAGTAGGGGAGGAGACCAGTGCATATTTCAACAATATTATCATGTGACAGCATTATTTAAGATGATTTTAAGTTCAGTCAGGGCAAATACACACACACAAACATATACGCGCGTGTGTGTATATGCATATGTATGTATTTTCTAGACACTTTCCTTCTTCCTCTTTGTCCTAAATTTCCATCTCTCAGGTGAACAGAATTCTTATTCTGCCTTCTTTATATTCAAGAACTCAACACTACAGCATCCCACCGTTACCTCAACTACTCTCCTTACCCAAATTAAAGTTAAATCTATGAGGAGTGTGTTAATTTCCTAAGGCTGCCATAATAAATAACCACAAACTGGGTGGCTTCAAACAACAAACATTTATTCTTTCACAATTCTGGAGGCTAGAAGTCCAAACTGAAGGTGTCGATAGTGTCAGGCTTTCTCCGATGGCTCCAAAAAGAATCATTTCTTGCTCCCTCTATCTTCTGGTGGTTGCTAGCAAGTTTCTTGGTTTGTGGCAGCTTAACTACAATCTCTGTTTCTTCTTTAATAGACTTCTTTCTGTGAGTCTGTGTGTCTCCAAAGCTCTCTCATATCACCAGTCATTGGATTTAGGGCCTAACCCTGTCCAGTGTGATTTTCATCTTTTTCTTTCCATCTTTTCTTTATTGACGTATATTTGATGGATGAAAATTGTATAAATAAGATATACAGCATGCTTTTGATATACATATACATAGTAAAATAATTACTATAATAAAGTTAATTGGTGGATCCATCTTAACTTGATTGCACTGGCAAATGATGTATTTCCCAATAAGGTCCCATTCACAGGTACCAGGGGTTAAGACTTCAACATGTCTTTTAGGGGTGCCATAATTCAATGCACAACAGGCGGCTAATCTCAGCTAAGTGTTTAGAAGGACAACCACATTATCTGATTAAATCAATTTACATAAAAGTCAGAATAACACTGCCTTTCTAAAGAAGTTTATAACACAAATGTACTGAATAATGTACACACTGTTAAGGGTAAGAGCATTCCTAGTAACTGCTTTCTATCCAGAGCTTTCAACTTTCCACCTTCAGTAAACTCAAGGCCAAGGTTATATTTCTCTACCCATTTGCCAGAGTAGATCAGCTACGAAATGAAAAGGATACTTAAGCAGAAAATTTAGGTTGTGTATGTTATTTCCTTTTTCTTTAGTAATGTTTTCACTTTTAGAGTAAATATTTTAATATTATTTGACCAAATTATATGAAAAATGGCTTGATACTTTATTTTAATTTTCCCATGTTAAGATGAATTTAGATCTGCATATTTGCCATACATGGTCCATATATGAAGGATAGATATAAAATATATGAAGGACATTGATGAAAAATGTTGGCAGTAGAAAACTACCCAAGTGTAAATTATTTTTTTTGTTTTGTTTGTTTGTTTGAGACGGAGTCTCGCCCTGTCGCCCAGGCTGGAGTGCAGTGGTGTGATCTCGGCTCACCGCAATCTCCGCTTTCCAGGTTCATGCCATTCTCCTGCCTCAGCCTCCCGAGTAGCTGGGATTACAGGCGCCTGCCATCACGCCCGGCACATTTTTTGTGTTTTCAGTAGAGACGGAGTTTCACCATCTTGCCCAGGCTGATCTTGAATTCCTGACCTCGTGATCTACCCGCCTCAGCCTCCCAAAGTGCTGGGATTACAGGCATGAGCCACCGCGCCTGGCCACACAAGTGTAAATTATTTTGTGTAGTTTTCTACACAAAATAGAAGGCAGGTACAGATTTTTTGGCAGGTACAGATTTTATTTTTTCCAAAATACATTCTAAGTGTTTATTAGAAGAACAAATAAGAACAAAGATAAAGAGTCATCTCGAGGCTTCGTATCAGGCAATCTGGGTTCTTCCGTGCTTACTTAGAGTCAGATTTATTCATAGTGGTGGAATGCTCACGCCTCTAAGGAATAAGTTCAGAAGAATGTGGTACTTTTATTTAGGCTATTAAAATCCTGAAATTCAAGTTTTAAAATGATTCAAAAGGAGATAAATCTGTTTTAAAACAAAATGCATTTCTTTGTATGCAGTGAGTCAGAGTACTGCTTTGTGGTAAATTGCCTTATGTTCTGAACAATATAATGTATTTCATTTTTAATAACTCAGTTTATTTGTAAACCATGTATTATTAACACATAGCTCAAACTATTGTATTTAATATAGAAATTGCAGTTAAAATTGGAGTGGACTCTTTTTCTTTCCCAGAACATTCATTGTTTGAGGAGAATTTAACAAGGCATTTTGATTTTTAAAAATCCCTCATCAGTGTAAGCACACCTTTAAAATAAAAATCATATTATTCTAAATTCAATTGCCATAGCATAAAATAGCTATTTAATATTTTTGCTAGGACTAGTATGTCTTCTTTGTTGATTACAAAATACATACTATGCTAAATTTTATCATTTGATTATTGATTTCCCAAGAGCCTTTTGTCTAAATGAAAAGCTGTGTCTTAAGTTTTCTAATTAAAATTTATAGTGATAGAATTATTTTTCATGCAGTTAATTTATACTCAAGAAGAGTTTTAACAGTTATTTAAATAATGATAAGTTTCTATAGTTTTTTTATTCAGTTGTTTTGAACACTCTGGAGCTGATCTGTTATTTTTCACAGCATGATTCCCAAACATCTGCAACAAATTCCTCTAAAAATTAGGAACATTGTTAGATATGGAAATTCAGGATCTTACCCGTACCTATTATCAGCATCTCTGGAAATATACTTCATAAATATCTGTTTCTAATAAGCCATTAGATGATTCTTATGCCTATTAAATTTTAAGAACCCAGTGTTAAAGAGAACAAACCAGTGTATCCTAACTTTTCTGACATTAGTGATCTCTAGACTTTGTAGTACATTGGGATAACCTGTTCAATGAATGTCAGCTTCTTGTAGAAGAAGTCATCCAGGGGTCAGGAAAGAGAGAAAGCCTGAACTGCCTCTTACTACCCCTAGAGTTCTGGAGTTCTGGGAGCCTGACTGAAGATAGCAGGCAGCATGTATGGAGCTATGTCAATGAGAATGAGCCCAAGATAAATCATCACAATCCATCAACCCTTCCTTCCTTCCTTCCTTCCTTCCTTCCTTCATCTTCTTAATGCTTCCTCTATTTTTGTCAGAAGAATTGGGAGGGAGGGTTATTGGGAGAAGAGCAACAGCATATCAAAACCCTGCTTTATCTTATCTTGACGTCATTTAACACTCTTAAAAATATGTGCTTTTAAAAGGAAGTATTCAATTTTTTTCTTGTTATTGCCATAGACAAAAAATTAATAAAGGGGTATGAAGTGTCACCAACTGTCTGACCCTGGCCTACTTTCCCAATCCCAGTTCCAAGAGGCATGTACTTCTTGGTGGGTGTGACTGTTATACAATCTTTGGCTGACTTTACCTCTTATCTCCTATCTTCAGATCCTTCTTCCTGGGAGGATTTTAACATGTAAGATGAGGAATTAAAACACCATCTGAATAAGTATGAAGTGCATTGCAGTCTTTGGAAGCAACATGCAGAACTTAACCCAAACCTTATTCTATCCATCAGAAGCTCCCAGGCTACTGACTGGTCTGTCTCTCCCAGGCCTGTTACAAGAAAAGTCATGGCTTATCATTCATCGGTTTAATTATTCCAAGACCCCCTTAGAGCTAGAGAAATGAAGAGATGGAGTGCTTAAACTTGATTGATTTGATTGAAAGACACAAAGTATCAAACCATTTTTCAGACATATGTCTCAGTGAAATTAAAAAATAAAAAAATTCATTTTGGTTTAAACCAGAATTTGGTAAACTACAGCACTTTATGTATGTCTGCCTTCATATTACAAAAGCAGAGTGAAGCTGATGCAACATAAATTGTATAATATATGCGTACCTATAGGACATCTTTGAATTTGCCTCCTGGCCTACAATGCCTAAAATGTTTACCATATGGATCTCTAGGGCATAGCTTTGCTAACCTCTGGTCTAAATGAAAACATTCATGATTTATTTTCTCCAGCATCTGAAGGCAAAATATGCATCCACCGTATTCCATAAAAAATTATTCATACATGTCTTAAAACTTGCATATTTTATTTTCTAACCCCCAGCATAAGACAACCATAAATGTGTAGGAACAACAGCCTTAGCCCCAACAACCACAACAGCACCTAACATAATAGGGATTCCATAAATGTTTTGATTAAATAAGTCTTTAAAAATATATGTACATTCTGCATTTTATTTACGATATACTGTCTCTCTATTTTAGAACAAATTTCATTTTCTCCAATCTTTGAATAAAATAGATGCTTTAGGAAGAATGTACAAGGAGATTTCTAGTACTGCTTAAAGCTCAGGAGAAGAAGCTCAAGAATTTGTCCTGAAGTGTGCAAGTTTTAAAAGAACAAAGCAGCTTTCCCTTCCCCGAAATACATGTTGAAAATATTTCTATCGATAAAGTATATGTATAAATTTGGACAAATCTATGTCAAACATCTATTATAACCATTACTAATCTGTATTCCAAGCATAAGTGTATTTTAAGTTCTTAAGACATTGATGTTTGTCAATGGTCCTAAGTGTTACTAATTCTGTCGCCTCCAGCAACTCAGCATGTAGAACAGACTATATCATTCAAGGCTAGCCTTCTACAGAACATCCAACCCTGTTCAACTCACGAGGATCTACATCCTATTCACTTTAACTATAGAGTCAAGACAGATCATTCAAGTGAGCTAAGTGAGAGAGAAGGAATAAGAAGAAAGCACAACCCTTGAAAGATTTCAGATAATGAAAATAAACAAGAGCTGTAGAAGTAAGTACAAATCATGCACGTCTCTCATGGCCACTTTTTTTTTTTTTTTGTCAGATATTGCAAAGCTATGGACCTGGGGAGATGACCTTTAAATCATCTAGCTCAGAATTTGTTCCACAATAAAAAGCTTAAGAAATGTCCATTATTTCCCTCCCTTCTTCTCATTCATTCTCACTTGGCTTTGTTCTTTTCAGTCTAGGATTCTTATTCATATTTCTACCTAATGTAAAGAGCCAACCAACATTTTTTGGACTGTGAGGGGAAAATTTTCTTTTCCATGTACATTTATGAAAAAGAAATTATTTAGAGCCAAATCATCCCATGTTGTATGCAAGAGGCAGACACATCACACCAAGAATGAGACTCTGGAATCAATCTGTCTGGGTTCCAGTCCAGCTGTACCACTTACAAGCTGAATGACCTTGGACAAATTGCTTAACCTCTCTGTGCATCACATTTCTCATCTCTAAAACTGGAATAGTACTACTTCATAAGCTCGTTGACAGGACTGAATGAGAACATATATGTATAGAACCCTTAAAATTGTGCCTGTATATAGTGAACACTCTTTTATCACTACGTGTTATTATTATTAGCGTTAATGAGAATCAAGCTCTCAGCATGACCCAGGGGTTCTCCAGCTCACCTTCACTGCCTTGTGCATGTCTTCCATTACACTCTCTACCACTCTGTTCCACAGAGGCCAATATGATATTAGTCCTAAAATGACATTATCCTTGTTATGCTTATCTTTGCTCATGCTGAAGTGCCTTGTCGTTATTCAGTATTCACTTTGCATAACCTATTTTCCATTAAGCTTCCACCTTGCAAAATAGAATGCCACTACATTGTACCCGAAGCCAGACACACACACACCGTTCATTTGTACACACACAGTTCATTTGTACACACACAGTTCATTTCTCTTTTTCCCCTTCCACTTCTAGATTGTGAAGATTTCAAGGGCAGAGAGAGAGTGTTAGGAACCCTTATGGCCATAACCCCTACCAACTCTCTGTTACATAGAAGACATTTAGAAAATGTATGTTGAATTAAAAAAAGCTTAAAGACCAGTCATAAAATTTTGATTTCATAAAATTCTACTTAAAGTATAGCCACAGGATTTGGCTCCATGACCTCTTTTGGCAGCAATGCTCACTTATTATCATAAACAGCACATAGTACTTGTCATTATTTTTCAAAATTCAATGTCCTTTAATGTCATCTGGTCAGCTGAATTAAGAAGCTTGCTTCTATTAATGGAATTCAGTTTTCAATATATCTGAGGTGTTTCTAACAACACCATTCAGAGTTCTCTGAAGCTTCTTTTTAAATAAATAATGCTCCATTTGGTCATTTCTTTGTTCTTTTATATTTATAGATTGTATAGTGTTTTTCTTAATCATTTGCACTAACTTTAATTCAACAGCAACTGAAAACAATTATATAAAACTAGTGTGTCTCCATATTCTTCATCTTTGGTGAATTTTTCCCCAAATTTACTAAAGTATCTTGCATAAAGATCTATATTTTATTATTTAAACTGACCCTTCTCTACAAAAAAATTACTCAACAATGATTCAAAAATGATGACTCAATGATGCATTTGTGTTTGTGAAATGACCATACTAATGAATTGGATTTAATACTTTATTCAAATATATCAAATGTATTGCAAATCCAAACACTTATTTCCACCAAACCTAACAACCACCATTGTCTCTCAATTCAAGGACAGTAATAGCCTTTGAACTGGCTACTGCTTCCAGGCTTGCCCCTCTATTGTCAACAGAACAGTTGAAGTGATCATTTAAAATTGTATTCAGATCATGCTAGTTCCAAGCCAAAACCTTCTCGTATCCATTGCACTATAAAGTCTAACTCTTTACAATGGCCTTTGAGGCCCATCAAGACCTGCTGCTGCCTGGCTGTCTTACCCTTCCCCTCACACCCAGAGCACTATGGGTGTGAGGGGAACTATAGCTACAGGTATACTGGGGTGTTTTTCTTTTTTGTTTGAACATGCAGTGCTTGTTACTGTCGTGGGACTTTGCACTTTGTGTCTACTCTCCTTGTAATGCTAGATCTTGAATATAAGGCTGAGTCATTGTCTTCAACTCATACATGACCTCCTTCATGAAATCTTCCTTTTCTGGCTGCTTCTCTTCAGTGGGCCTTTCCATCAGGTGCTGGCAACTCTCAGTCAGTTCTTTCTCAGCTCTGTCTCTTCTAATGGCCTTGCTAATTCAGCCTGCCCTTGATCTTGGTGCTCAGATTCCTCAGAGTCTCTACTACTTTTCTCTTCTGACATCTGGTTAAAGCTGCGAGCCTCATAAACGTTTTTGGCTGAGCCATTTTGCTCATAGAAGGCCCATTTATCCCCCTCAACTTATTATCCATATTGCATGATAGCTAAAGGAAACTTGGGATTGCAAAGTGAATCTGTCATGCCACAGGGCCTCCTTGACTGCTACTTGGGATCCACATGTTAGCTTGGGATTACTCAGCACAGTAATGTCCTCCAAAACTTGAAAGCAAAAACCCTGAGCATCCCCTCAACTTAATTAAGAATTTCAAAAGATACATCCCCTAGAGGATTGGCCTCGACAAGCTGGGAAGAAAAAACAAGAGCGGTGGCAGCCACTTTTCTCTACCATTGAGCTCTTTCTCTCCACCTATTCTGGCATTTCTCAAAAGAATGCCTGAAGGCTTTTTTCCTATTGTGCATTTTTTAAGGGTATCATTCTGTTGCCAAGGCTGGAGTGCAGTGGCATGATCATCTATAACCTCAAACTCCTGGGCTCAAGCAATCTTCCCACATCAGCTTCCTGAGTAGCTGGGACTACAGGTATGCACAAATGTGCCTATTTATTTATTTATTTATTTATTTTTTGTAGAAACAGGGTCTAATTATGTTAGCCAAACTGGTCTTGAACTCCTGCCCTTAAGAGGTCCTCCTGCCTGGGCCTCCCAAAGTACTGGGATTACAGGCATGAGCGACTGTGCTTGGCCTGTTCTTTCTACATGATTTGAAACTCCTTTATACAAAATTCCATGCAAACCCAGTCATTTATATTTGTTGGCAAACATTGAGATGAAAAGTAAAAACACTTAGTGAATCATCTTAATGTTTCATCTTTAAGTTACTAAGCATCTGGGTCTTGGCAAAACATCCAAATAATAAACTCACCCATCAAGCCTGGTCTTGATATAGAGGAAGAAACTGAAGGGCTTTCTAAAGACTGATGTTAAACTATACATTAAAATAATGCTTTAAATAACAGAAATTGAGTGTCTCTTTCCCACCTCTACCCCACGGCAGGCAGATGCCTTATCATTGTAGGCAGAAAGACATGTAGAAAAGCAAAAGAGAAAAACGTACTATCATTATTTGACTGGCTTGGACACAAATATAGGGAATGGAGAAAATGATTTTCTCCCTATACATAATAGAAAAAGGGAGATAGAGATAATAAAAACTAAGTTCAAATAAATCATTATCAACAAAAGTAATCAAAAGAGTAGCTCAATTACTTAAGTGTGATTTATTCAGCATGCTGAGCCATTAAATTATAACCATGATTTGGGAAACACACACACACACACACACACACACACACACACACACACACACAAATCTGAGTTACCAAATAGATAAAAGAACTCAGGCCACTTCCTGGCCCTCATTATTTGCTCTCATTCTAGAAATAATTCTAAATCCTTGATTTTTCTGACTTCTCAGCCAAGGTCTTTTTGAAAGCACCGAATCAGATGTTGGATGGTAAAAACAAAAACAAGAAAACACTGGTACAATGAATTCAAATGTTGTGACAGCAAATAGTAATATATATATGTATATATGACAGATGTTTGGGAGCCAATATATATGGATGTCTATGCCTCTTCTCTAGTTTTTATTTAGTGATTATTTTGATCTTTTATGTGCAGAATTATAACCAATACACTGCATACTTTATATGCAATATTGTGTTTGTGGTTTTACTCATTTAACAATCCTAAGACAGCTATACACAGTTTCAACAAAGAAATTCATTTACTCTATAAAGCATTTTATTATTTTTTCTAATTGGGACTTCTAATAGTATTGAAAGTAGATAGTTAAGCAGAATAGTCTTACAAACAACATCCGGAAGCCATGTGCAAGTGAAGATTGTAATAAGAAAGAGGAGACACTTTGAAGTCAGGTTTGGATTTGACCCACGGCTACCAATACCTCCCAGCTTCTTAATATGTACCAGTTATCTGAGTTATCAGAACCTTTTAAAATGAGGAAACTAAAACCTACCTTACAATAATGCTTTCATAATTATATGACAATCACACACACCCACAAAAACACTAAACAAATGTTACAAAATATAGACAAATTTCTTCATTTACAATGTCTTATGCATTTGAGAAAAAGAACAATTAGGTGATATTTGACTTTTTAAAGACAAGACAGATCCATTTCTTCATACTTGTATTATCTTTAAATGTGTTTGAATCCAATATCAAAATATAAGGGTGAAAAGGTACTAAATTCAGTGGAAAATTAAATTATTTTTCTTTCAAGCATAGTCCAAGGCTATGTAGAAATCCACAAAGAAATCAGATTGAATTTTGTTTTAAAATCTACTGCTTTAGGAAAGAAAAAAAATGCAAGTGTTTGAGGGACATAAAATCAGAACATAACGTTGTTTGTGTGTGTGCGCAAGCGTGTGTGCATGGGTGTATGTAATGAGAACAAGATGCTTAACAAGTATTTTCGGTTAGTTCTAAGTGTAAGAAGCCCCTTGGGTCTGTCCTATAGCAAAAATGCATTTTTTTGACGGGATAAGCTTATGTAACATACTTCTGGTGGCATTATCTTAAAGAGAAAACTGAATCTGCCCTTTATAATACTTTAAGTTATTCCATAGTTTAAAGATATTTGTTCTTGATTGGGCAAAACATCCAAATAATAGCATTTACCTCTGTTTATATTAATCATGTATGTTGGCTGACACACATCACCATTAAAATGACAGATGTTTAGGCAAATCATCGAATTATTTGATCTTTATATTTCTAAGCATTCAGATAGTTGTATACATCCAGATGATTTAGCAACTTTTTTTGTTTGTTTTTTTGTGACATGGGCACAATTTATTCTGTAAATGGGAAACTTTAAATATATTTGATTATCGAGATATCTTATACTCACTTTCTTAGAGTTTCAACTATAACCTAGAACATTCATTCTTTTTAATGATATTTCCCTTATTATATATTGTAACCATTTAACTATTCAATAACTTTTTTTTGAGACAGAGTCTTGCTCTGTCACTGAGGCTGGAGTGCAGTGGTGTGATCTCGGATCATTGCAACTTCCATTTCCGAGGTTCAAGCGATTCTCCTGCCTCAGCCTCCCCAGTAGCTGGAATTACAAGTGCCTGCTACCACACCCAGCTAATTTTTGTATTTTTAGTAGAGACGGGGTTTCACCATGTTGGCCAAGCTGGTCTTGAACTCCTGACCTCAAGTGATTCACCCGTCTCGGCCTCCCAAAGTGCTGGGAGTACAGGCATGAGACATTGCGCCCGACCATCAATAACATTTTTGTAAAATTTAACAGAAATCGGGCTGGGTGCGGTGGCTCACGCCTGTAATCCCAGCACTTTGGGAGGCCGAGGCGGGCGGATCACGTCAGGAGATCAAGACCATCCTGGCTAACACGGTGAAACCCCACCTCTACTAAAAATACAAAAAAAATTAGCCGGGCGTGGTGGCGGGCGCCTGTAGTCCCAGCTACTCAGGAGGCTGAGGCCGGAGAATGTCGTGAACCAGGGAGGCGGTGCTTGCAGTAAGCCGAGATCATGCCACTGCACTCCAGCCTGGGCCACAGAGCGAGACTCCATCTCAAAAAAAAAAAAAAAAAATTTAACAGAAATCACAAATAGATATCAACAAAGAACACAATAATACAGAAAGATTTATGTTTTTAGCATGCATTATTTCTTTTGGATTTCTTTTGGTTATCTAGCTACATATAGAGTACATCCAGTGCATTTAACTAACATACTACTTTATTTCTCTTTCTCATCAGATTTAGAATGTAATAACTCAAGGATTTGATAATACAGTGAAGTAGTATAACAACTGTCTACGTGCTTCCCATGATATGTTCTCTATATTGTAAGTATATATTTACTTTCTCAATCTAGCTTGATTGTGGGAGAAATGTGTTCACTTAGAACTTATAGATGATTTATATTGTTTCAGAAAATTTTGAACTAAAACTCATCCAAGTTACAGAATAATTTCAGAAGGTTAGCTTCTATGAGGAGATCTTTTATAAACTTAGTTTTAACATTCTATCAAAGTTAAAGTTAAAAATAATTTTCTGTCATGGTAGGTAGGATAATACATCCATCATGTCTAATCATATTTTAAAATAAATCTTACAGTTAATAATCTTAAAATTTCTATATTCTTTTGTTTCCTAGAAAAAAGTAAAAAAAATTAGACATGGAAAATTTTATGTTCTCAATATAATTTGCAATCTAATTTTGAATTTTGGTCAATTTCTTTTTATATTAGTTATCTTTTGAAAATGGGTTTTAATTTGGGGTAGATAATGCCTGTACCAATAAATCATTCTTACATATGAATATAAGAATATATTTACTATATATATTCATATATGTAATTTATTTAATAAGTTAAATAAAAAAAGAAAAGTAGTCTTTGTACAGATATGAACCTCTTACTGTTCATTTCACATGATTAAAAAATAAGGAAGGAGGTAGAATTCTGGGATACTGTGCTTTGTTTTTGAGTTAAGAAATACTACAAAGCAATAAGTGTTACTCATGTCAATGAGAAAGAAATAAAACAGCCCAATCCCTTTTCCTTGGATGAAAGCAAGCTATGGACTGGAGCCCATCATGAATCAGTAGTGTCCCTACAATTTAAGGCATGTTTAGGGTGTCAGGAGATGCTGTTCCCTAACAACACCTAATACCGTCAGACCTAGAATCGCTTCTCAAGCCTTACTCTCTATTCTCTCCAGCACTTGTTTTGCTGAAGCTCCTGTCTGAGAATATAAAGCTGTCAGAGAATTGCAGGTGGTGGTGGATAGGTTATTAACATCCCTGTTTCAGAACTCTGAATGCATTGTGACACAAAATATGATTTAATACATATTTTATAGCAGTGCTATCTAATAAAACTATAATGTGAACTGCATATGTTATTTAAATTTTTCTCATGGCCACATTTTTTAAAAAGTAAAAATAAGCAGGTGAAATGAGTCTTAATGATATATTTTATTTATTTAGCCCTGTACATTCCAAATATAGTTATTTTAACATATGACTAATGTAAAGAAAAGAATGAGACAATTTGCATTCTTTTTTTCTCACTAAGTCCTTGAAATCCAGTGTGTACTTATAGCACATCTCAATTCAGATACTAAAGTTTTGTTGAATATACTTGATCTATACTTAGACTTCATAAAATTTACAGTTGGAAAAGTAGATTCACAAACCCAAATTGTCCTACAAACATTTAAAAGTGTTCCAATAACTAAATCAAGTGTCAGTTTTTAAATTTAAATTGATAATCATCTCATCAATGACACTAGCTGTATTTCAAGTGCTCAGCTGTCTCATGTGGCTGGTAGTTTCCATACTGGAAACTCTGCTCCAGGTGACCGCTGATATAATGCTTCGGTTCTGCTACCTAATGAATTTTGAAGGCCAACTTCAGACCACATCAAAGGAGCACATGACTTTAAAATTTCAATGACAGAAAAAGTCAAACCCTAAACTTATTACTTAAAATGGATTTTTACAGAACCCCATGTTTATGAGAAATTATAGAGAAGAAAATATACCAAATGTGTACTTCTAAGCTATATACATGTTGGAATTTGGGGGCTTTTTGTTTGCTTCCATGTACTTGCTTTGTTGTAACTAAAGGAATTTGCTGATCACAGCCCTCCTCATTACAATGAGTAAATCAATAGAAAAAAAATCTAACATTTAAAAAAATTGTTCCATCAAACACATTCTTAAAAGAATGAAAATATAGGCATCAGACTTGTAAATCATGTATCTGATAAAAGATTTGTATCCATAATATATAAAAAACTCTTAAAACGTAATAAGAAAGTAAATCTAATTTTCCTGGTAAAATATCTGAGCTTTACCAAAGAAGATGTATGGATGACTAATAAGAATATGAGAAGATGTTCACTAAGGAGATACAAATGAAAGCCACAGTAAGATGCCAGAACATACCTGTTAAAAATGAATAAATGAATTAAAAATCTAACAATATCAAATATTCATAAGCATGCAGAGCCACAGAGACTGTCATTCATTACTTTCATTACTGTTGGCAATTCAAAATGGTACAGTCACTTTGGAATGTACAAGTTTCCTATGAAGTTAAATGCTTACTTAATATATGATCCAGTGATCCCATTCATAAGTATTTACCCAAGTGAATTGAAAAACATTTTTGACACAAAAAAACAATATGGGAATATTTACAGAAAATTTGATTTCAATTGCCAAAATGTGGAAATAACTAATATGTTGTCTTCAGCTGGTAAATGAATGAACAGACTGTGGTAAATCTATAAAGGGGAATACTATTCAAATATTTTTAAAAGGAAAGTATTGATTTATGCATATCATGGATGAACGTTTTAGTGCATCTTGCTAAGTGAAAGAAGGGAAGCCCAAATGACTGCATATTTAAGATATATAATTCAATGTATCTTAAATTCTGAAAAAGCCAAAACATAGAGATGGGAAGCAGATCAGTGGTTGCCCAAGTTAGAGATATATTGAGTTGGAGTTATAAGAGGGCTGACTACAAAATCATTGATTACATGAGGAAATTTTAAAGGGGGGTGGAACTGTCCGTGGTGCTGAAAAAATTACTGTGCTCATCAAAACCCATAGAACTGTACAACACAATGAGTAAATTCTGCAGCATGCACATTAAAAAAAGAAAGAAAGAAAACAAATAGGATGTATTATCCCAAAATGGGGTGGAAACAGTGACAAGTGAACCTAACCATCTTACAAATGTAATATATAAACTTACTGAAGGTGATGCAGTCAAAGGATCTAGCCTATATTTTGGAAAACAGTATTTTGAAAGGACAAAATCTGCAAAGAATGAGGCTAACTCTAAAAAGAACTATACATAGACATTGTATTTTAGTTGATTTTTTTCAAAGGAGTGCAGGTTAGCAATTATGAAAGTACTTTGCATGTATATTAGGGTGGAATGCATAAGTAAATAAATTATAGATATTGGGAGATAGGTTTCACATTGCTAGAGAAAGAAGTTATAATCAGCAAGGAGAGATGGCTAAAATTAACCTTGCGTTGCTAGATGAGAGATGTAGATATTAATTTGTGAATCTATTTTTATTTTAAAATACATAGATACAGAAATGGGTCTACACACATAACATTTATTAGCTCTATCTACTGAAAAGCTCTAGAAGCAGTGATACCACATTAGCAATTAGCATGCCTCATGCCCAAATTTTAGTTTCATGCTCAGTTTAGAGGTTTCTGTATATACATCATAATGCTTCAATCTTAGAGTGAGCATGGAATGTAGGAAATTCAAATAGAATTCTTTATTTAAACACAAGAAAAGTCTCTGAGAATTTAAGTGACTTGCCTAGGATCAGCAGTTTGTAAAGGATGGAGCATCTACATAGAACAATCTTACTTCATTCTTAATCTTAACTTGTACCACATCAAGAAGTCTACACGATATGGAAATATTCTTATTTGTTAAATTATTTGTTTTCAATTTCCAGAAATAATCAAGCTCTTTCTCTTAATTTAAATAAAATTCTGGCAAATTTTATATCATTAAAAAACTATTATTCACATTTAAATTCAAAATTTTTACCTGAAATGTCTGTTTCCTGTTGAGCTTCAAAGTCCCATCTAGAGGCCAGGCATGGTGGCTCACTCCTGTAATCCCATCACATTGGGAGGCTCAGGCAAGCAAATCACTTGAGGTCAAGAGTTCATGACCAGCCTGGCCAACACAATGAAAACCCATCTCTACTGAAAATACAAAAATCAGCTGGTGTGGTGGTGCACACCTGTAGTCCCAGCTACTGGGAAGGCTGAGGCAGGAGAATCGCTTGAGCATGGGAGTTGGAGGTTGCAGTGAGCCAAGATTGCACCACTGCAGTCCAGCCTGGGCAAGAGAGTAAGAGTCTGTCTCAAAAAAAAAAAAAAAAAAAGTCCTACTGGACTGGGAAATCATTATTGCTAATTTATTTCTGTTATATTGGACACACATATGCTTTCACTTTAAGGAAATCCTATGCAAGAACCAAAAAAAAAAGAACTACAAAATATAGTCATGCACTGCATAACATTGCAGGCAATGATTGACCACATGTACATCAGTGGTCCCATTAGATTATAATAGAGCTAAACAATTCTTATCTCCTAATAACTTTGTAGCCATCAGAACTTAGTAGCACACAACTCACATGTTTGTGATGATGCTGGTGTAAACAAACTTATTGCACTTCCAGTTGTATAAAAGTGTAGTACATACTGTACAATTACATAAGGTGCATAACAATGATAATAAACAATTATGTTATAGTTTATGTATTTACTATATTTTATCATTATTTAGAGTGTACTTCTACTAATTTAAAAAACTTAATTATTAAACAGCCTCAGACAGGTCTTTCAGGAGGTATTCCAGAAGAAGGGATTGTTATCATAGGAGATGACAGGTCCATGCACGTTATTGCCCCTGAAGACCTCCCAGTGAGACAAGATATGGAGGTAGAAGACAGTGATATTGATGATCTTCACCCTGTGTAGACCTAGGCTAAGGTGTGGGTTTGTATCTTAGTTTTTACAAATTTAAAAGGTAAAATAAAAAACAAAAATATTTAAAAATAGGAAAAAAGCTTATAGAATAAGGATTAAAGAAAGAAATTATTTTGTACAGCTATACAATGTGTTTGTGTTTTAAGCTGTGTTATTATGAAAAAACTCAAAGACTTAAAAAATATTTTTTAAGTCTATAAAGTAAAAAAGTTACAATAAGCTAATATTAAATTACTGAAGACAGAAAAACCTTTTTATAGGTTTAATATAGCATTTGTACAGTGTTTATAAAGTCTACCGTAGTGTACAGTAATGTCCTAGGCTTTCACATCCACTCACCACTCACTCACTGACTCACCCAGTGCAACTTCCAGTCCTGCAAGCTCCATTCATGGTAAGTGCTTTATACAGGTGTACGATTTTTTATCTTGTATACAGTATTTTTACTGTACCTTTTCTATGTTTAGATATACAAATACCATTGTGTTAAAATTTCCTAAAGCATTCAGTATAGTAACATGCTATAAGTTTGTAGCCTAGAAACAATAGCCTAAGTGTGTAGCAGGCAATACCATCTAGGTTTGTGTAAGTCCACTCTCTGATGTTTGCACAACAATGAAATCACCTAACATCACATTTCTCAGAACATATCTCCATCTTTAAGTGACACATGACTGTATATAAAGTGTTTTTTACTTCAAAATAATTATGTCTCACAAAAGCATTCATCATGTATTTTCTTAAATAACAATGTTCCCTGCTGCAATTTTGTTAGATTTATACATAGTATCTCAGAGGAAATAAAGTCATTTTATAAAGCCAAGCTAACCTGCCATCCTTTCCTTTAATACCTTCATCACTATGCCCATCTGCTGCAATTTTTATAAGTAAGTGTGATCTCATAATCCACACAGTTTTAATATGAAGAAAATTTATAGCATACTCTTACTAATCAATAAATCAAGCTTTCTCCCTATTGCTTTCCAATCACAATGATGACTTCTAAGGGAGCTTATTTTATTAGGTAATTTGAAAATACTTTACTAGGCTATTTGAGGAACTTCTTGAATATGAGGGGGTTATTAACAATAAAAGAAGATACACCCAATAGAGAAACAATTTCTATACCTTCAAATAATAGTATAGTAGGTATAGGAGGCAAATGCAAAATCAGTGTGATCCATTATATATTTAACCCTCATTTGTTATCTGTTACAATACATAAATATGTTTTGAAAAGAATATTATCAAATCTATTTGAATTTTCTACCATATTTAATGTTCAGAATTCTCATTATTTTATTTTTTTCTGATTTAAAGTCCTTCTACCATCGTAGAAGTCTATTTTATTTGTTTTGTTTGCTTGTTTTGTTTTTGTTTAAAAGACTATTCAGAAGAGTTCCTTTTTATAAGACCCACTTTTTCTTTTTTCTTTCTTTTTTTTTTTTTTTTTTTGAGATGGAGTCTCTCTGTGTTGCCCAGACTGGAGTGCAGTGGTGCGATCTCGGCCCAATGCAAACTCCGCCTCCTGGGTTCACGCCATTCTCCTGCCTCAGCACCCCCAGTAGCTGGGACTACAGGCGTCCGCCACCACGCCCAGCTAATTTTTTTTTAATTTTTTTTTTAATTTTAGTAGAGACGGGGTTTCACCATGTTAGCTAGGATGGTCTCGATCTCCTGACCTCGTGATCCGCCCGCCTCGGCCTCCCAAAGTGATGGGATTACAGGCGTGAACCACCGTGCCTGGGCAAGACCACCTTTTTTTTTTTTTTTTTTTTTTTTTTTTTCTGTACTAAGACTTTCTACTATTCTGCCTGGTGAATAACAGGTACTTAAAATATTTGCAGTTTTGACTTCTAAACAAAATAACATTAAGCACATTTTTTTTTTCAGTTAATTTTAGGAGTAATTGGGGTAGCCTGGAAGAAATCACTTATGGGAGATGCTCCAGAGCTCCACTGTTTGTGATGACCATTCAATATGCAACATAAAATGAGTCTTGGTGGTGTCTCAAATCTTTCTCCTCCACAAGGAGAAGTAGATGGAGTATAGATGGATGCACGGGTGGATAGAGTAGGACAAATAGATGGAAAAATAGTTGGATTTTTCTTACACATACCGTCCAATATCTTCCATACCATGGACAGTATTTTATCCTTACTTGTTTCTAGGACCTAAGGAACATAGTTGGTAATACAGAATCCTGTGGAACTCCAATAATTTCAGAGAAAATTGAGGATACAGTATTTTTACCCTCTGCACCTGGAAGAACTTACTGCTTTATTTTGGTAACTAAAAAATTAACATTAATTTACTTTTGCCTTGATAGTAGGGTCAAAATCAATGTCTATGGAAGACTACCTATAATAGTGACTACTTTAAATTCTTTTCTCTTCTTATCCCTTATAATGATATATCCTTACTTTCAACATGCAGATATAAGCAGTTCTAAGTCTATGCTTCAAATTACATGCTCTGGGGAAAGAATTAGTAAACAAAGATGTCAAGAAAATCTGAATTTATTATTTTCAAATTGTTCTTAAGTTTTATTTTTAGAGACTATCATTTCCTTATAGCTACTCTACAAAGAGACAAGAAAACACTTCACAGTGAACTAGCCCCCCTAGGAAAAACACTGTGGAGTGAATATTTATGTTATCAAGTAGTTAGAATAAGTAGAGGCAGATAAAAATACCCTAAACTTTTATTTAAAACCATGCATATTAACCCCGTGGGCTTTCTTGCTATCCTTATAAAGTCAATTATCGCTCTATAGGTTTTTGATTTTTAATTTCAGTTTATTTTAAACTATATTGTATCTCTTCATATTAAAAAATTAATCTTCTCTTTTACTTTGTATGTTCCACCATTCCTTTTTAATTCATGTCACTTTTGTACTCTAAACACAGTAGGATGCTAATTTAAAATTTGTGACCTTAAATTCATGTCATTTAAATCCCCCAAATGAATATAATGATTCATCCACTTTTGTGTTTGAAATATAATCTGCCTTAAAATAAATCTCTATGTTGCTAAAGGGTAAAACCTAGTATATGCCTCTTGATTTTATGAGAGCACAAGATCAAATCTTCATTATATTTAGAGCTTACACTGAAGATGGAAAGCTGCTTTATATGATAAAGTGAGAGAAACTTATCAGTAAGTCTTCAAGCAGGAGAAGATGAGATGCGCTGGGTAGCCAAGAGAATTTTAGTAAAGTGATGGTCTGTGTTCAATATTAGCTTGTGCACTTTGCTATGATATAACAGCTCTCCATCTAAAACTTCTGCTAACATTGCATGAGCCTTATATGAAATTTTAGGGGAAATTAAAGAGACTCAGTTTCACATCCAGGTCAAAGCAATCAGAGAAAAAGGAACATTTATGGTAGTTAACACATGAATAGAATTTGGAAATCTCTAGTGCAGAAGTCCAGGACCCTAAGTAATCAGGAGTGTCTAGAACCCCTTTAATTCTCAGAAATCTTATGGGGCATTGGAATTTCCAATACAATATTGGATGGGTGGCTGGAACTCTCAAATGCAGAAACTACACTTTAGGTTACTTTTCTTATTACACAAACATTAAAGCAATATTTAAAAGGTCAATCCAGTCAGAATCCAACCACCACAGAAATTCACAGAATTATTTGCCTATGTTTCCTTTTATTTCTAATCCGTATGTACACATAATTTTACATGGTATAGTTATAATTTTGTTTTGATTTTGTAATCAGTGTCAAATCATAAACATTTTAACATGTTCATTTTTTGTAGGTGCCCTTATAATGACTATTTGCCTAACCCTTTTCTTATCTTGGGTATTGGATTGTACTTGAGTTTTCATATATATATAAATAACACTTCAATTTAAATATTTGTCAAATATTTTGCTTTCATCAAATAAAAAATGGAAATAAAAACAAGCTTATGGCCGGGTACGGTGGCTCACGCCTGTAATTCCAGCACTTTGGGAGGCCGAGGCCGGTGGATCACGAGGTCAGGAGATCGAGACCATCCTGCCTAACACGGTGAAACCCCGTCTCTACTAAAAATACAAAAAAATAGCTGGGCGTGGCTAGCTGGGCATGGTGGCGGGCGCCTGTAGTCCCAGCCACTCGGGAGGCTGAGGCAGAAGAATGGCGTGAACCCAGAAGGGGGAGCTTGCAGTGAGCCGAGATCGCGCCAATCCGCTCCAGCCTAGGAGACAGCCGCGAGACTCAGTCTCAAAAAAAAAAAAAAAAAAAAAAAAAAAAAAAAAAAAAAGCTTATATTGTAGAGCTATTGTGAGGATTAAATGCAAAAAAATGCATAACAAAGATTATGCATAGTGTCAATTTGGACCAATTTCTAGAATCTAATTATTGACCAAAGGATATGACTATATATTCTTTCTGAGGCTGTTGAACGAATTACTAACTTCCAGAGTGTTCAGCTGGCAAAATAATAAAAACTGGCTGTCAATATCTTAAACAAAAAAACCCAATGCTGAAGTGATCACTTATTTTAAAAAGGGCAAAATATAATTGTCAGGCACAGTCTCTCAGAGCAGGGAAGACTGCTAATATTATAGAGGGCTTTGAGGAAGAGTGTAATTCAGTTACTGGTTGACTTCCAGAGGCGTAAGTGTATTGACGTCATTTGTAGAACTATGGTTCTTCAGGTGAGAATTCCTTTGATTAATCAACTTCCAGAAGTGTGTTCTTTGAAGTGAGTCTTTTTCTGATTAACTGACTTTAGGAAGTTAGGGTTATAACTATTTGGTTGACTTGCAAATGCATGTTCACTGAGAGGCAGAGCCATTAATTCTTCAACTTTGTGTAAAATCAGTTCTGATAGTTTCTGGAACTGTCATTGATTAAGCAGTTTTAAAACCACTTCTGGTGACTACTTGCTACCATAGCTACAGAAAAATATCAATCATTTCCTAGGAGCGTGGGGACATTTTATTCTCCAGCTATAGTTGAAATAACTTATGAGAAAAAAATCACAGAGGAAATGATGGAAAATGCCAAGGGCTTTTCATGAGGAAGAGGGGGAAATAACTAGAAACTTGTTTTTAATGCAATCTTCTGCTTGAGAAATACTGTGTCAGTATCCAACAGTGAAACAGATGTGGAAAGGTAGTACCCATTGAAAAGAGGAGTAGAACTAGGATGGAAAGGTAAGCACATTTTATGTAAGTTAGTTAAATTGCTAAAGAAAACTTATTTCCTATTTTATTGTCAAGAAATTATATAATTACACATTTTGTGGGATCACAAATGTCTGCTTATTAAACATTTTAGTTCATAAGGCTGCTTTTCTTTTTTTCTTTTTTCTTTTTTTTTTTTTTTTGAGACAGAGTTTGGCTCTGTCGCCCAGGCTGGAGTGCAGTGGCACAATCTCAGCTCACTGCAAGCTCCGCCTCCCGGGTTCACACCATTCTCCTGCCTCAGTCTCCTGAGTAGCTGGAACTAAAGGCGCCTGCCACCACGACCGGCTAATTTTTCTATTTTTAGTAGAGACAGGGTTTCACCAAGTTAGCCAGGATGGTCTCGATCCTCTGACCTTGTGATCAGCCCACCTCGGCCTCCCAAAGTGCTGGGATTACAGGCGTGAGCCACTGTGCCTGACCAAGGCTGCTTTTCTCTAAATCCATGCTTACATAGATTAGTGATTATCTTTAATTTTTATTTTTGTTTTTTTGTTTCATTTTTTTGCATTTTCTCTCTCTTTAATATAAATTGTGTTCTTACTTGCTTATATTCCATTCTAGAATGGCTTCTAGTCTCCTCCCAGAAGTCTGACCCTGCCAGTTCTAAATTTTTTTCTGACTCTCATCCTCCTGAATTTTGCTCTCCTCCATAGTCAACAATTTTGTACGCCTCCTTTTCTTTTTTTAAATGACATTCAGTTTCTGAAATATTGGCTTCTCTCATTATACTTCCACCCCCATTCTTCCACCATGCAAAAAATAACTCTTCCTCTCTCTTCTTTTGGCTAAACTTTCCAAAAAGATGTATAATTTTTTATTTTTGAAAAATGTGTTAGTGACATTCGTCCTGGTTAACTTATTCCAAATAATGTCTCTATCTTGCATTCTGTCTTACTGTTCTACAACCTATTCCAGCACCATCAACAGATGACTCATTTCAGCCTGACCTCATGAAAAGAGCTTGCATTCTAGGTTCAGACAGAATAACAAGAGACTCCTATTTTTACCATTTGCTGGCTGATGTAATCTTACATGAGTAATTTAAGCTATAGGGGTCTCACCTCCTTTATCTGTAAAATAGGAATTCTAGTACATGGGATGGTAATGATGATGTAAAGAAATCATGTATAGAAAACATATAAATAGCATACTCTTTCTACCCAGGAGGAGCTACATAATTGTTAAATCTTGTGTTTATTTCTTATTATCTCTTACTATGTTGACTGTTCTTCCAAATTGCATAACCAAAAGATCCATGAGGCCTAATGTCAAAAGCTCAATGTCTTTGTCGTCTTATGAGGCAAGTCAGTTTATCTTATCTTGTTCATTTAGGGATAAGAATAATTCCTTCTCTACCTTAATTACATTGTGGCAATGGCAAATTGAAATGTGATATTGATTACAGAAGTACTTAATCATTATAATAACAATAACTGTTAGCATTTTAAAATCTGGTATTGTCTATGTGTAAGTCACTGTGTCGGCACTTAATAAATGTAAGCTCAGTCTTTACAATTATCTAACAGGGATTAATATTATTTCTAATGTTTATGTGAGGAAACTACAGCTCGGCAAGATGAAGTCGTTGGGTCAAGGATACATAGGTAGGAGGGAACAGGGCTAGAATTGAAGTCTTCTGAACCTCCACCTGCACCCTCAGAGCCCCATGCAACAGTGAATAATCAAATGCATTCAGTTTCCTTTCATTAAAAATGCTACTTGGCCACTGCTTGAACCATGATCCATTACTACCCAGCTCATTTTCAAAGGATCTTGTTAACTCTCCTAAAAGCATTTTAGAGCTAGATCCTGCCTTCGTTTATTTTCATTATAGCTGCTTTCTTTTCTATGTCATTAATTCATGCTTCTCTTTTGTAATTTTACTGTCAGGTTCTCCACCAAGTGCTCTAGGGAATTAAAAACACATGCACACAATATTTAAGCTTTTCAGCGAGTGAAGGTTGACCTCAATTCCTGTTTTTCCTCCCTCTTTGTGCTGTCTTCAGGGTTGATATGCCTCCCTCCTCTTCTACCCCCAATAGTGCTTAAGCCTCTCTCATGTCGGCGCAGGTTAAAACTCGTCCACAGCCTCTGTATGTTTCATTAGTCTGTTTTACATTGCTGTAAAGGACTACCTGAGATAGGGTAATTGATGAAGAAAAGAAATTTATGGTACGGCAGGCTGTACAAGAACCATGGCACCAGTATCTGCTCAGCTTCTGGTGAGGTCTCAGGAAGCTTTTATTCATGGAGGAAGGCAAGGAGAGCCAGTGTGTCACATGGCAAAACAGGGAGCAAGCAAGAAGAAAGGGTGCTGGGCTGTTTTAAACAACCAGCTCTAGAGCAAGAAGTCACACATTACTGCCAGGAAGGCACCAAACAGTTCATGAGAGATCTGCCCCCATAACCAAAACACCTCCCTTCAGGCCCCGCCTCCAACAAGATGTCATTCTTTGCTTCCCTAAAGTTCTTAGGTCTTCAAAGCACTCACTCAACAAAGCAGAAAACTATTTATACCATAGTTTTGCTATTCTGTAGATCCAGGACATATTGCAAATTATCAATTACATGCAATGAGTTGTTAGACTTCAGTGCATTTTAAGGCAAAGGATTCTCTGCCTCTGCGTCAGACTAAGAGATTGAGTTGGTCTTTATATACACAGGTTTGTAAATTCAAACTACACTTTAATTCATGTTATTTACTATTATAAACATACTTATTTCACCTAAATACTTTCAATGGAGGTAGAGGCAATATCATTTCTGTATTCTTTAACTTCCCTGTGGAGATTATAGCATGGCCAGGCAGTGAATGAGAAATATAAAGTGATGATTAAAATGGAAATGAGCCATCTGTAATAATATTAAATAATTGAGCAGAAAATTTCAATCTAAGTGTCAAGGCTTATCAACCAAAATAATTCATGGAAAACTATTATTAAGAATGGTTTCAGGTTATTATTTGTCTGAGGATTAATAATTTCTTTTGTTAAAAACTACTGTTTTTTTAAACATTTATTGGAGGTCCAGGGGTACACGTGCAGGTTTGTTAGATAGGTAAATTGCATGTCTCAGGGGTTTGATGGACAGATTATTTCTTTACCTAAGTAATAAGCAGAGTATCCAATAGGTAGTTTTTCAATCCTCACCCTCCTCCTATCTTCCACCCTCAAGTAGGCCCCAGTGGCTGGCTTTTGTTCCCTTCTTTGTGTACATGTGTACTCAGTGTTTAGCTCCCACTTATAAGTAAGAATACATGATACTTAGTTTCTTGTTTTTGCATTAGTTTCTTAGGACAATAGCTTTCAATTCCATCCATGTTGCTGCGAAGTATGTAATCTCATTCTTTTTTATGGCTGCATAGTATTCCATGTTGCATATGTACCACATTTTCTTTATCCATTCTATCATTGATGAGCTTTTAGGTTTATTCCGTGTCTTTGGTATTGTGAATAGTGCTGCAGTGAACATACCTGCGCATGTGTCTTTATGGTAGAATTATTTATCTTTGTTTAGTTATATATCCAGTAATGGGATTGCTGGGCTTAATGGTAATTTTAAGTTCTTTGAGAAATCCCCAAACTGCTTTCAATAATGGCTGAACTAATTTACATTTCCATCAGCAGTGTATAAGTGTTCTTTCTCCTCAACCTTGCCAGCATCTGTTATTTTTTGACTTTTTAATAGTAGCCATTCTGATTGGTATGAGATGGTATCTCATGGTGGTTTTAATTTGCATTTCTCTAATGTGATGTTGAGCATTTTTTCATATGCTTATTGGCCATGTGTATGTCTTCTTTTGAAAAGTCTATGTTCATGTCCTTTGCCCACTTTTAAAGGGGTTGTTTATTTTTTGCCTGTTAATTTGTTTAAGTTCTTATAGATTCTGGATATTAGACCTTTATCAGATAAATACTTTTTAAATATTTTTCTCCTATTCTATAGATTTTATGTTTACTCTGTTGATAGTTTCTTTTGCTGTGTAGAAGCTCTTTATTTTAATTAGATTCCACTTGTCAATTTTTGAAACTACTCTTTTAAAAAAGAAAATTGTAAAGAGCTTTTTAAGCCAAATTTAACAAGCAATAAACTTTTAAAATTAACAGATTCAACTACCTAATTATCAAAACTTCAGTATAACAAAAAAAGATACTATAAACAAAATTAATTTTGTCTTTAAATTTAAAAATCTGGGAGAAAATGTTCCCCCCAAAATTAGACAAAGGCTTAATTTTGTAATATGTAAAGAGTGTTCACAAATTAATTATCCAAAATGCCATAATAAAAGAGGCAAATA
The DNA here is from genome assembly GCF_000001405.40 of Homo sapiens. Lineage (NCBI taxonomy): Eukaryota > Metazoa > Chordata > Mammalia > Primates > Hominidae > Homo > Homo sapiens. The sequence continues at coordinate 96,128,327 of NC_000006.12, forward strand.
AAGTATGAATAGTCATTTCACAAAGGAAATAAAAATTATCCCAATAAAGACAATAATGTCCAACCTTACCAATTAATTACCTGACAAATGCAATTTTGTGGTCTAATGGGACACTTTTTCATTTGTACTGTATTAAATAGTTCATAACATTCATCGTTATTAAGTGTTGTGGAAAATTTGATTCCAGGTGAAGCAAGTTGGACCCTTTTGGATAACATACTGGTATGTTCATAAATTTGGTAATACTTACAAAAATTTTAAAAACATATATTGTTTGACCCAGTAATTCTACCTGTGGTAATTTATTCATCAAAAACACTTGTATGCACCACTAAGAAGCCTTCACCAAAATGTTTATTGCAAATTTAGAATGACAAAGTATTAAAAATAATCAAAATGTCCATCAATAGGAGAAAAGTAAAATATATAATAATATATTCTTACCAATCAGTGCTAAGCAACCATTGAAAATAACTTGGTGAATATATAAAGACAGATTAAAATATCAAACTAAAGGGCCAGGCACAGTGGCTCACACCTGTAATACCAGCACTTTGAAAGGCTGAGTAGGAAGGATCTCTTGAGCCCAGGAGTTCAAGATCAGCCTGCGCAACATGGTGAAACATCTCCACAAAAAAATACAAATAGCCACCGGGTGTGGTGGCTCATGCCTGTAATTCCAGCACTTTGGGAGGCCGAGGCGGGCGGATCACAAGGTCAGGAGATCGAGACCATCTTGGCTAACACGGTGAAACCCTGTCTCTACTAAAAATACAAAAAAAAAAAAAAATAGCTGGGCGTGGTGGCGGGCGCCTGTAGTCCCAGCTACTGGGGAGGCTGAGGCAGGAGAATGGCATGAACCTGGGAGGCGGAGCTTGCAGTGAGCCGAGATCACGCCACTGCACTCCAGCCTGGGCGAGAGAATGAGACTCTGTCTCAAAAAAAAAAAAAAAAAAAAAAAAAAAACAAACAACCAGCCATGGTGGCATGTGCCTGTGGTCCCAGCTATCCGGGAGGCAGAGGTGGGAGAAGGTCACCTAAGCCCAGAAAGTTCGAGGCTTCGAGGCTGAAGTAAGTTGCAATTGTGCCACTGCACTCCAACTTGGGTGACAGAGTGAGACCCTGTCTCAAAAAATAAAAATAAAAAATAAAACAGCTTCAAACTATTCACTATAAAAAGCAAGTCTCAGAATAAAATAAACAGAAGAGTCTCAATTTTCTCTTAAAAATCATATATATGTATAAATATATCTAAATATATACAAATGTGTATAAAGTTTTGAAAAAGTTCTAAAAGGATATATGACACACTGAAACAAAAGTGGTTACCTCTTGGGGAAGAGAATGGGTTGAAAGAGTGGCAATTGGTATTAATTTGGTATTTAGTATTAAAATTTGGTATTAATTATTTTATATACACTTGAATTATTTACATTTTAATAATAAAAATATATTCTTCTATTACTTTCATAGTTCTTATAAGTCATGCAAATACAGGTAGTATAACTGAAGTGAGTAAATGTTTTCAGAAAAGATTTGATGAATTATCAGTCAATTAGTGATAGTGTTCTGAAGGGTGGGCATTTTTGAACATTTTTCCTGTTATGCCTTGAATTTTTTAATTAAATTTCAAAAAAATTAATTTTACCACAGTTGTAGGGCTTAGCTTTGGCTAGAATCAAAATTTTATATAAATTACACGTCAGTTGGAAACAAATAATCAGAACCTCCTCAATAAAATAACATTGGGAGGTGGGAGAGGGGGTACGAATCTCAGCATGGTTTTTGGGAGATAAATTTTTTAACTTTATATTTGAAAAGTACTTTTTACTTGACAAGTAAAAAGAAAAAGAATCTTAGACAAGGCAGTATGAGAAAAATTAATTTTAAAAATAAATTTAAGAAAGGAAAATAAGTTAAAATTTGACTTTCTCTGCTATGAGAGATAGTTGTTATGTAATTTTATAAATATTATAAGAAACTTCACCTGTCTTCATGTATTAAATAAGATGAAGTAAAAATGTAACCTGGTGTGAATGCTAATGTCACATTAATAATGCCATTAGTTATATTCTCTCCCCACCATCATCTTGAATGTCTCAGTGACACAATAACATGGGCTCCATTTAGTGCTTTAAAAATTAAATTAACTCCCATCCTTTTTTGAAAATATCTCTCTAAAAAGCAGAGACATTGTTCTTGGACATTAAAGAAATTCTGTAGATTAACTGCAATTCATGAGCCTGAGTGAAACTTTCAAGCACTTTGATCATTGCTATAATTATGAATACCCAACCTGTTTTTACATATTATTTTTAAAGGTTACAAAAGTAATTCTTTTTCCTCCTTCAAGATAATACAGTAAAATTTGTTTTCTTTGACACAATTTTAATTGAACTACATACACATGTTTTCCAACTTAGTTTGGCAATAGAAAAAGTGATCATTATTCTTCTGACTCATTCTAAAACTCTTACAATGTACGAGGAAACTCTTGGAGCTTTGCTTTTCTCTTTACTGTGGCAGTGCAAACTTATTGCTTGCTACTCTGCAGCTATTTCTGAACTCAAGTTATTTTAGAAATTCTTCAAAATTTAACATTTTCTCCTGATCCTTTTTGAGGAATCAGTACACCATAGTGGTCGTCCCTGCTTATAAGACGGGGTTAATAATATTACCACCTACACTGTTGGTTTGAGAATGACACAAGATGGTGTGTATTTGTTATGTGCAGGACCCACTACCTGGCTTGTATGGAGGAGCCCTTTCTAAATAAGTACTGCTAGCATTATTTTTTCTTCTATGAGTTCCTATTTCTCTTTTACTCTAAATTATCATCACAATAGGCTATACATTATTTATTTTCCAAAATAAATGTTATGGTAACTACCTGCATGAAGAAAAGTGAAAAAAAATAGAACATATTATGAATGACTATTTCTGAAAATTCAACTATCTAGCATTGTACAAATAACACCTTGACGAGTAGCTTGATTTTTCTCATTTTCAACTTATTTTTTCTTTCCTTCTCTTTCCATATTTATATTGTAAGTGGTTGCCAGCACTGACC